>NC_000001.11:205154283-205305799 GCF_000001405.40 Homo sapiens | reverse complement strand
GCAGAGGTTGCAGTGAGCCAGGATCATGCCACTGCACTCCAGTCTGGGCAACAGAGCAAGACTCCATCTCAAACAAACAAACAAACAAAAACCAAAAAAACCCCTAGAACTAGAACTTAGGTCTCCTGACTCCTAGGTTAGTTCTTTGCCTCCCTCACATTCCTCATTCCTGTTACCTTTCCCAGCACCCAGTCCAGCCTCCTGAGAGTGATGTAGAGATGATATCTGTCACAACCACCCCTTCCCCAGCCCGGAAGAGATGACCTGGCTGTAGCTCTTGTGCTTGTGGCTGTCCCTCGCAGGAAATGCGATTGACAACATCTCAGACCCCTTCTGCAGCATCCCCGTCTTGGCCCCTGGGTAGGAGAGGTGGGTCGTCCTCAGGTGTGCTGGCCTCTGAGTTCTCCAGCATGTAACATTTTCCTGTCTGGTATGGGCATCCCTGCTGACCTCCCCCATCTCTCTCAGGTGGACAGCTGGTCCCTGGGTGTTCTCCTCTACATCCTGGTGCATGGCACCATGCCCTTTGATGGGCATGACCATAAGATCCTAGTGAAACAGATCAGCAACGGGGCCTACCGGGAGCCACCTAAACCCTCTGGTGAGTAAGAGGTGTGGGCGTTCTTATCCAGGCCTGGGGTGTCCTTCACTCATTCCTAAGGCAGAAACTACACAGTGGCACTAAAGTCAAACGGGCAACAGTCCATCATGGCCCATGGTAGGTTAGGGTACCCTCCACCGTATGTCCAATGTTGAGACCTCTGGGGAAGGAGGGGATAGCTCTTTCTTTCCCACAGGGGCATGTTTGATTATATTTGGGAAGTGGTTCCTAAGGTCTCACTTAGATCTTCTTTGCTACAGTTGTCTCATTTCCTATTGCTTTTGTTCTCATCTTCAGAAATCTTTTTGTCCTTCACTATGACTCAGAAGGCAGGAAGAAGGGTGTGAGAGACCCAGTTTACCCTGAACACAGTCTCTACCCTCAGAGGGTTGAATTTCAATGGAGAGAGAGAGGATAGACACCAACATACACACAAGGGCTTATGAAGGGGTCACAGTCCTGAGGGGTCAGAGGACAGAGAGGCAGCTGGAGGAGTCAGTCCAGGAACTCTGGACTGGGGAGCTGTCCTGGGCCAAGGCATGTATAGAGCCCTAGGTTGGAAGGGACGCATCCGACCCAGGAGTATGCAGTGTCATAGCTCAAAAGGGGATGAGCTGGGGACAGGGGACAGGGAGTGCCTATTCTGGGAGCTGCCAAACTGAAGCACCTGCCTTTTGTCTTCCAGATGCCTGTGGCCTGATCCGGTGGCTGTTGATGGTGAACCCCACCCGCCGGGCCACCCTGGAGGATGTGGCCAGTCACTGGTGGGTCAACTGGGGCTACGCCACCCGAGTGGGAGAGCAGGAGGCTCCGCATGAGGGTGGGCACCCTGGCAGTGACTCTGCCCGCGCCTCCATGGCTGACTGGCTCCGGCGTTCCTCCCGCCCCCTCCTGGAGAATGGGGCCAAGGTGTGCAGCTTCTTCAAGCAGCATGCACCTGGTGGGGGAAGCACCACCCCTGGCCTGGAGCGCCAGCATTCGCTCAAGAAGTCCCGCAAGGAGAATGACATGGCCCAGTCTCTCCACAGTGACACGGCTGATGACACTGCCCATCGCCCTGGCAAGAGCAACCTCAAGCTGCCAAAGGGCATTCTCAAGAAGAAGGTGTCAGCCTCTGCAGAAGGGGTACAGGAGGACCCTCCGGAGCTCAGCCCAATCCCTGCGAGCCCAGGGCAGGCTGCCCCCCTGCTCCCCAAGAAGGGCATTCTCAAGAAGCCCCGACAGCGCGAGTCTGGCTACTACTCCTCTCCCGAGCCCAGTGAATCTGGGGAGCTCTTGGACGCAGGCGACGTGTTTGTGAGTGGGGATCCCAAGGAGCAGAAGCCTCCGCAAGCTTCAGGGCTGCTCCTCCATCGCAAAGGCATCCTCAAACTCAATGGCAAGTTCTCCCAGACAGCCTTGGAGCTCGCGGCCCCCACCACCTTCGGCTCCCTGGATGAACTCGCCCCACCTCGCCCCCTGGCCCGGGCCAGCCGACCCTCAGGGGCTGTGAGCGAGGACAGCATCCTGTCCTCTGAGTCCTTTGACCAGCTGGACTTGCCTGAACGGCTCCCAGAGCCCCCACTGCGGGGCTGTGTGTCTGTGGACAACCTCACGGGGCTTGAGGAGCCCCCCTCAGAGGGCCCTGGAAGCTGCCTGAGGCGCTGGCGGCAGGATCCTTTGGGGGACAGCTGCTTTTCCCTGACAGACTGCCAGGAGGTGACAGCGACCTACCGACAGGCACTGAGGGTCTGCTCAAAGCTCACCTGAGTGGAGTAGGCATTGCCCCAGCCCGGTCAGGCTCTCAGATGCAGCTGGTTGCACCCCGAGGGGAGATGCCTTCTCCCCCACCTCCCAGGACCTGCATCCCAGCTCAGAAGGCTGAGAGGGTTTGCAGTGGAGCCCTGAGCAGGGCTGGATATGGGAAGTAGGCAAATGAAATGCGCCAAGGGTTCAGTGTCTGTCTTCAGCCCTGCTGAACGAAGAGGATACTAAAGAGAGGGGAACGGGAATGCCCGCGACAGAGTCCACATTGCCTGTTTCTTGTGTACATGGGGGGGCCACAGAGACCTGGAAAGAGAACTCTCCCAGGGCCCATCTCCTGCATCCCATGAATACTCTGTACACATGGTGCCTTCTAAGGACAGCTCCTTCCCTACTCATTCCCTGCCCAAGTGGGGCCAGACCTCTTTACACACACATTCCCGTTCCTACCAACCACCAGAACTGGATGGTGGCACCCCTAATGTGCATGAGGCATCCTGGGAATGGTCTGGAGTAACGCTTCGTTATTTTTATTTTTATTTTTATTTATTTATTTATTTTTTTGAGACGGAGTTTCGCTCTTGGTGCCCAGGCTAGAGTGCAATGGCGCGATCTCAGCTCACCTCAACCTCCGCCTCCCGGGTTCAAGCGATTCTCCTGCCTCAGCCTCCCTAGTAGCTGGGATTACAGGCGCCCGCCACCATGCCCGGCTAATTTTGTATTTTTAGTAGAGACAGGGTTTCTCCATGTTGGTCAGGCTGGTCTCAAACTCCCGACCTCAGGTGATCCACCCACCTCGGCCTCCCAAAGTGCTGGGATTACAGGCGTGAGCCACCGCGCCCCACCTAACCCTTCCTTATTTAGCCTAGGAGTAAGAGAACACAATCTCTGTTTCTTCAATGGTTCTCTTCCCTTTTCCATCCTCCAAACCTGGCCTGAGCCTCCTGAAGTTGCTGCTGTGAATCTGAAAGACTTGAAAAGCCTCCGCCTGCTGTGTGGACTTCATCTCAAGGGGCCCAGCCTCCTCTGGACTCCACCTTGGACCTCAGTGACTCAGAACTTCTGCCTCTAAGCTGCTCTAAAGTCCAGACTATGGATGTGTTCTCTAGGCCTTCAGGACTCTAGAATGTCCATATTTATTTTTATGTTCTTGGCTTTGTGTTTTAGGAAAAGTGAATCTTGCTGTTTTCAATAATGTGAATGCTATGTTCTGGGAAAATCCACTATGACATCTAAGTTTTGTGTACAGAGAGATATTTTTGCAACTATTTCCACCTCCTCCCACAACCCCCCACACTCCACTCCACACTCTTGAGTCTCTTTACCTAATGGTCTCTACCTAATGGACCTCCGTGGCCAAAAAGTACCATTAAAACCAGAAAGGTGATTGGAAGCAGGCCCTGCTGTTCTCTTTGGTGACTGAGGTGGGGAGGGATGGTGCTGAGCAGGTTTTTGAGCCTTCTCCTAATACTCGTTCCCCTAGGCTGCCAGGGATGGGAAATAGAAAAACTGCCGAATCAAAACAAACGTGAGCTCAGTAGCTCTGGCCTGACCCTATTAAGCACACAGGTGGGAAGGCCCTGGGCCCAGGGTCCCAGTTGCTCTTCCGGCCTTTGGCACTAAAGTAGAAGTGGATTTGGCAGATTATCCCACCCTGCCCCCACCACCTGCCTCCTTCTCCTCCCACCCCTGCTCCTGTCTGCTTGAGCCCTGCTCCTGCTGCGTAAAGACACCCCCACAGCCTTTATTCTCTCCCTCCTAAGAAATCCCCTTTACTCTGGTGCTGGGCAGCTTTTCCCCCCTCCGTCCTCACTGCCTGACTCCCAGAGAAAGCAAAGAATGCCTGGAATGTCCACCCCCACCGTACGCCAACTCCCTCAGCCCCCTGCAGAGCATTCCCCACACGCCTGCTCCATTGAGAAACTCCCAGGCTCCGAGGGCTGGGGATGAAAGGGAGGATGAGGACAAAGTGCCGGCCAGCAGCCGGCTGGCTCTGGCTTCAGGCAGCCTCCCTCCCCCACCCCGACCCACTCTGGTAGTCACAGGAGGCCTCCAAACGTCCCCAGCTCTGGCTCTGGCCCCACAACACACCTGTCCTGCCGGCTGTCGGTGCCTGCCCAGTGGAGCGCGTTGGACCTCCCCTCCCACACCTGGAGAGCTGAGCTGGCAAAGTCACTAGTCTGCAAAGGAGATGGGGAGGGCAAGGCAACTATGAGGTCAAGATGGGAGAGCAAACAAGACATTGCTTAGGCGACACTGGAGTACTTAGGTCTTAAGTCTCTGAGGTCCTACTCAGTGCTGGAACTCTGGGCTAGACTCTGGGTAAACATGGAAAAAATCCAGGGGGTGGGTTTATCTCCAGAAGCTTAGAGTTCAGCTGTGGGGGTAGCAGTGCTCCTTTATTCATTCCTCTCATGAATCAAGCCCTTTTGTGTGCTAAGCTTAGTAGAAGACAGAGGTAATTGCTGTATCCCTGGTGCAAAAAAAAAAAAAAAAAAAACAGAGATCTTAGCCTCAAGGAGGTTACAGGCTGTGGGTAAGGTAGCATGCAATTCAGTGAGAAATTGTTATTGGTTCAGATCATGTTGAAAGGGAGTTTGGGGACGGCGCGGTGGCTCATGCCTGTAATCCCAGAACTTTGGGAGGCAGAGGTGGGCGGATCACAAGGTCAGGAGATCGAGACCATCACGGCTAACACGGTGAAACCCCGTCTTTACTAAAAATATAAAAAATTAGCCGGGCGCGGGGGCGGGCGCCTGTAGTCCCAGCTACTCAGGAGGCTGAGGCAGGAGAATGGCGTGAACCCAGGAGGCGGAGCTTGCAGTGAGCAGAGATCGCACCACTGCACTCCAGCCTGGTCTCAAAAAAAAAAAAAAAGAAGAAAAAGGGAGTTTGGATGATGGAAAGAATTGCATCTTCGGAGATAATAATAGGGGCTACCATTCACTAAGTGCTTATGGGTCAAGCCCTTTAGGTGTGTTACCTCATGTAATGCTCACGATAGTCTTGTTAGTTCAGTACTATTTCTATCATTCTCATTTTATAAAAGAAATGGAGACTCAAAAACATTAAGTAGGCCAGGCGCAGTGGCTCACATCTGTAATCCCAGCACTTTGGGAGGTCGAGGCAGAAGCATCACTTGTCAGGAGCTCGAGACCAGCCTGGCCAACATGGTGAAATCCTGACTTTACTAAAAATACAAAAAATTAGCCGGTCATGGTGGCGCACTCCTCTAGGCCCAGCTACTCGGGAGGCTGAGGCAGGAAAATCCCTTGAACCTGGGAGGCGATAGTTGCAGTGAGCTGAGATTGTGCCACTGCACTCCAGCCTGGGCAACAGAACAAGACTCTGTCTCAAAAAAAAGGAACTTGATAGCAAATGGAGAAATCAGACCTCAAACCCAGGTTTGGCATCCCACAGACTCACTTGAATGGCATGGTGTTTGGAGAATTGGATAAAAGAATGTAAGTGAAGGAACTATAAATTTATATGCCAGGTTTATTTATAAATATTTATTATATGAGCATCCATTATATGCCAGGTTCTTTTGCAGGCACAAGGAATATGCCAATTTCCCAAGTGCCCTTTCCTAGTCTCCACAAGCCCCAAGAGAAAGCTAAGAAAGAAGAGAGTGAGGCCAGGCGTGGTGGCTCATGCCTGTAATCCCAGCACTTTGGGAGGCCAAGGTGGATGGATCACCTGAGGTCAGGAGTTCGAGACCAGCCTGGCCAACATGGTGAAACCTCGTCTCTACTAAAAATACAAAAAAAATTAGCCAGGCATGGTGGAGCATGTTTGTAGTCCCAGCTGCTTGGGAGCCTGAGGCAGGAGAATTGCTTGAACCCGGGAGGCAGAGGTTGCAGTGAGCCTAGACTGCGCCACTGCACTCCAGCCTGGGTGACAGCAAGACTCAGTCTCAAAAAAAAAAAAAAAAAAAAAAAGAGAGAGAGAGAGAGAGTGAGTGGGAGAAGCAGAAGAGTGTTTTTTTGTTTGTTTGTTTTTTTGAGACAGAGTCTCGCTCTGTCACCCAGGCTGGAGTGCAGTGGTGTGATCTCGGCTCACTGCAAGCTCCGCCTCCCGGGCTCACGCAATTCTCCTGCCTCAGCCTCCCAAGTAGCTGGGACTACAGGCGCCCACCACCACGCCCGGCTAATTTTTTGTATTTTTAGTAGAGACGGGGTTTCACCATGTTAGCCAGGATGATCTCGATATCCTGACCTCATGATCCGCCTGCCTCTGCCTCCCAAAGTGCTGGGATTACAGGCATGAGCCACTGCGCCCGGCGAGAAGCTGAAGGGTGAGGGACAGGACTAGAATTGGAGGGGATGGAGGAGAGGAGGACACAGTGGAGGGAAAGCCTGTACCTAAGGGACGCGCAGGGTGTGGAATGGGGAGGGAGGGAGAGGACACAGCCCTTTCCATCAGTGCTATCTCAGCAGGGGCTGGGGGAGGTGGACTTTCAGGAAAGGAGAGTCCTAACATCTGTGTCCTAACATAACCATTCGGTCCTAACATCTGTGTCCTCCTGCATCTGCTTATGTAACCTCTTCTAAGCCAGGTGGAGGGAAGGGTGGGCAAGGTGAGGGGGTGGATGTGGGGGAAGCCTTCTGGGGAAAGAAAATCTGAGCTGGAAGAGAATGTCTATTTTCTTGGTTCCAAAGAGACCTAGATGAGGGACTGTGGATCCCACCCTGCACAGCCCTTCCCCTCACCTGCCTGGATGCTTCATATCAAAAACATTCCAGAAACCAGGCTCACAGCGATGACGTGGGCCCCCAAGGGAGAAGGCTGAAGCTGCAGGAATATTTAGTGCCACATCAGTGCTTCCGGAATGTGAAGAACCCAGATGATGACGAGGGTTGGGGGAGGTGGGGAAGCAGCTTTGAGAGACAGCAAAGGGCCTTCTGCAACCAGGACCATGAAATCCTGGTAGGAATCCTCTCCCCATCCTCAGCCCTTTCCCGGGGCAAGTCCAGGCAGTCCTCTGTGTAGAGGGAGGGAAACTGCAGCAGCATGTTAGTACCCACCATCAAGATGACCCCTTCACCTCTCCCCCTGCTCCATCCCATCAGCTGCCTTGGGCCCTCCTTGGGCAGATAAAGTGAGAGGGGAGACAGTGATCCAGAGCACTGTTGGGAAGCAACAGTCCTCTGCAAAGCACAGTGCCCACACTCCAGTAGAGCTTCTAGAGGCGGACTTCAGCTCTGCGAGTCAGAATCTGAAGCCCGCTGACTGATAGCCCACACATGTCTTGAGGACAAGGATGGACCCAGGACAAAGGAAGAGTCCTGGGTCTTAGCTGAAGAGTCTGGGCACTTTTAAAGTAGGGGAAGGGGAGTGGGTGGGAATCACATAATAGATGACACGGTTGATCTTCTGGAAAAGAGAATAGATGTACAGGCCATGGCTCAGAGAGCAGGACCAGGACAAGGACCAGGACCAGGACCAGTGAGTGGGGGCTACTGAGACACTAGATTCAGCTTGATAAGGCAACCACCTACATAGGACATTCATGCAGGCCGGGCGCAGTGACTCATGCCTGTAATCTCAGCACTTTGGGAGGCTGAGGCAGGTGGGTCACTTGAGGTCAGGTGTTCGAGACCAGCCTGGCCAACATGATGAAACCCAGTCTCTACTAAAATTACAAAAATTAGCCAGGTGTGGTGGCGTGTGCCTGTAATCCCAGCTATGCAGGAGGCTGAGGCAAGAGAGTCACTTGAAACCAGGATGTGGAGATTGCAGTGAGCCAAGATCACACCACTGCACTCCAGCCATGGGGACAGAGCAAGACTCTGTTTCAAAAAAAAAAAAAAAAAAGTATGATGTTCATTCAGTCATTCAGTCATTCATTCAGTATTTACTGAGTGCCAACAGTGTATACTGTTCCAGGCTCTGGAGATACATCTGTGAACAAAACTGAGATTTTTGTCTTATGGGGCATCCATTCTAGTGGAGAAAGACAAGTATAGTAAATAAGTAAATGATATAGTATATTAAAAGGCCATGGCCAGGCACAGTGGCTCAAGCCTATAGTCCCAGCATTCTGGGAGGTCAAGGCAGGCAGGTCACTTGAGTCCAGGAGTTCCAGACCAGCCTGGGCAACATGGCCAAACCCTGTCTCTACAAAAAAATGCAAAAGTTAGACGGGTGTGGTGGTTCACATCTGTAGTCTCAGCTACTCGGGAGGATGAGGTGGGAGGATTGCTTGAGCCTGGGAGGTCAAGGCTGCAGTAAGCCAAGATTGTACCACTGTACTCCAGCCTGGGCAAGAGAGTGAGAACCTATCTCTAAAAAGAAAGAAAGAAGAAAAATTAGTCAGGAATGGTAGCACACACCTGTAGTACCAGCTACTTGGGAGGTGGAGGTGGGAAGATTGCTTGAGCCCGGGAGGCAGAGGTTGCAGTGAGCAGAGATTGCACCACTGTATTCCAGTCTGGGCAACAAAGTGAGACGCTGTCTCATAAGTAAATAAATAAATAGACCTGGCATGGTGGCTCATGCCTGTAATCCCAGCACTTTGGGAGGCAGAGAAAGGCAGGATCACCTGAGGTCAGGAGTTCGAGACCAGCCTGGCCAACATGGTGACACCCTGTCTCTACTAAAAATACAAATATTAGCTGGGCATGGTGGCAGGCGCCCGTAATCCCAGCTACTCAGGAGGCCGAGGCAGGAGAGTAGCTTGAACCCGGGAGGCAGAGGTTGCAGTGAGCCAAGATAGTGCCACTGCACTCCAGCCTGAGCGATAGAGCAAGACTCCATATCAAAAAATAAATAAATAGTCATGATAAGAATTAGGAAAATACTAATAATAAGGATGGGGTATGGGGATGGAGAGGAGACAGGATTGAAATTTTAAATAAGGGTGATCAGAGAAGGCCTTCCTGAGAAGGTGGCATTTGAATAAAAACCTGGTGGCAGGGGTTGGGGGTGGAGCTAGCTATGTGGCTATCTGGGGGAACAGTGTTCAGGGTGGAGGGAACAACCATTGCAAAGGCCTCAAGGCAAGAGCAGGTTGCAAGTTCTAGAACAGCCATTGATGCTGGAGCAGAGTGCATGAGAGAGTAGCAGAAGACGTGTCAGGAGAGGTAACAAGGGTGGGGAAGGTAGATTACACAGGGCCTTGTGAACCATTACATGGGCTGTGGCTTTTATTCAGAATGAAATTGCCAACCACCAGGAAGTTCTGAGCAAAGGAATGACATTTTTTTTTTTTGAGATAGAATTAAAAAAAATTCTTCTGCTTGTTGAGACTAGCCATGGGAGGGTCGACATTGTCCAATTCTGGAAAGAGGTAATGGGGCTTGGACTGGAGTCAGTAGTAAAGAAATGACAAGTTGTCAGATTTCTGACATATTCTGAAGCTAGAGCCAACAGGCTTTCCTGATGGATTAGATGTAGGGTATGAAAGAAAGAGAGAAACCAAGAATCACTCCATGGTCTCTGGCCTGAGAAACTTGGAGGGTAGAGTGTCCATTAGCTGGGTCGGGGAAGACTTGCAGATGGAGGAGGTGTGAGGTGAAGTCAGAGGCACTTAGGCCTCCAGGCAAAGATAAGTGGTATGAGGAGCCTGGAGTTTGAGAGATTTGGGTTGGAGATAGAGATGTGGGGGTTGTTGCTAGAAGGAATTTCTGCTTCAGGTGAAAAATCCCGCCAGATGATACCTGAAGAAGTCCCTTCTGGCTGTAAAGATCCTAGGATTGTATTGACTAGGAAAGCAGTTCTTTCCAAAGCTTCTCTGATATGATTATGTGGGGAGGTGGGCAGTGCTGCAATGAGGAGGCATATTTGGCCTGGTGGGGACTGGCTTTCTCCATCCGATAAAAAGTCTTTTTTTTTTTTGACACAGGATCTCACTCTGTGGCCCAGGCTGGAGTACAATGGTGCAATCTCAGCTTACTGCAGCCTCGACCTCCTGAGCACAAGCGATCCTCCACCTCAGCGCCCCCCTGCTCCTCCAGTAGCTGGGACTACAGGTGCATGCCACCACACCCAGCTAATTTTTTTGTATTTTTAGTAGAGACGGGTTTTGCCATGTTGGCCAGGCTGGTCTCGAACTCCTCACCTCAAGAGATCCACCTGCCTCAGCCTCCTAAAGTGCTGGGATCACAGGCTTGAGCCACTGGGCCTGGCCAAAGTCTTTCACAGATTTTTATAAGAATGTTAGAAACGTCACCCTTGGACCAGGGCTCTGCCTCTGACATTGGCACCTGCAGAGGGGTTGTGAGTCGCTTTATACAGCAGAGGCCCCAGGTTGGGAGAAGGATTCCCAGTCAATCCTCTTTCTGTGTTTCAGAACTTCCTACTTCAGATCCCTGAAGGAGCCTGGAAGCGGATCACAGCCCAGGGAGGGCACGGGAATCTCTGCATTTTCACAAGCACGGCAAGTGGCTCTGATCACACTAAAGTTCCAGAATTTACTCAAGGTGAGGGCCTGAACCTACCTTAACCTGGAAGATTTTTACTCTGCCAGGCATGCAGCTTCCCTCTGGGATGAAAATCTTTCTCTCTTTCTCATTCTGCCTCTTTTTGGCTCTGAAATCCTCTCCTCACCATCTCTTTGCAAAGGAATTCCCCATCCTTTTCAGTTGTCTTTTCCTTTCTCTTTCCAGCCTCCAACCCCCTCCCTGAGCTAATCCCACCATCTCAGTTTCACCCTTTCCCCTCTCTAGGGGCAGTTGGGTCAAGCTGGGGGATGAGTCATCCTAGGTGGGGGAGGGGATTTCAGGTCCATAAATGGGCAAAAACTCAGATTTCAGGTTTCCATGTCTAGGAAAAGGCCAGTCTGTCCCCTCTATCTCTCCACCCTCAAAGGAATTCCCCAGGGAAGAGGAGGCTGGCTTTGACCGGATGGAATCCTAGAAATAGCAGAGCTTTTTAGGAGATACGTTTCAGTCTGACTCAGCTTCCCTGATAAACAGACAGTGCCGGCCAGGAATTTCCCAGCCCAAGAGGCCAAAACCCCCACTTCCCAGTGGAAGTGTTCAGCTCTGCCTTTGGTGTTCTGGGCCCAGCCAGCACCCCTGCCTCCATCCTCCTCACCATTCTCTTCCTGTGATCAGAATTCGAGCTCTGAGCTGCATTAACCTGAGCTCTGGCCTGTGAGGGCACCCAGCCATTGCAGCAGAACTCACCACATGTCCCGCCTGGAAGCTAGGGTCAAGGTGCAATGACCTTTCAAAGTTCCCCCAGCTAGATTCTGAATCACCTCTTTATGAGCCCTGGCAGCAATCACCCATCGCCTTTGTTGTGTCCATCAGGAGGGTCCTTGGTAAGTGGCAACTTCATACTCACAGCAGGCTAGTTACTGGCAGGGATCCCTTCTCTGCTAAGGGACCCCTGGCTTGCCCTGTCTCCCAGTCCAATGTGCAGTCCTCTGTGAATCCAAGAGCCATTGGTGAGGCCAGGTGGGGCCTGGGGAGAGCCTGGCCTGCCAACAGGGCCTCACATGGTGGCCGGGCTCACCTGAAGACCTGTTTGCCAAAGTGAGCAGCCTCACTTTGCTGCTCAGAAACCTTGCTTATCAACAGGCTAGGAGGCTCAGGAGCAGACTCACTGAGCTCTAGGAGAGGAATGGATTCAGCCAACATGCCAATTCATTCATTTCTAATGAATAACAAAACCCCTGTCAAACCAACCAGATACTTGGGTTTGCTGATGAGCACATTCACTGCCTGTGGCAGTTTCACACAAGGGTATTCGGAAGTTCAGTGGGAAGTCTCCTTGAAGAGCATGGAAGCTGGGCTAGGAGAGCTGGTTGAATTGGTCTTCATGGTGGTGCCAACCTCTTTGTCAAGATACATCTGGTAACGCCGTTCAGGACACCCTGCCCCAGCGCAGCTTTTGGGAGCGCCTCCCCACGCACGTACACATCGGACATCACAAAGACAGCCTTGCTGGGCTAGCACATTCTTCCCACAGAGTGCATTGCAATGACTTAGAGAGTCACTTTCACAGTCAGCTCACACCCATCACATTACTGCAAGGATTAAATGAGACAACACATGAACATGCTTTTTAAGCAATACATCACTGGAGAAAACCTAAGGAGTGAGAACAGGTACTCAATAAATGTTTAATAAAGGGCCTCCACCCGCTTTCCTGGCCCCAGCCCCTTATAAAGGGGAACTTGATAGTTAAATCAAGTGAAAACCCATTCCCTAATAAACACATCAACATTTATTAAGACCTTACTATTGTTCTAGGTGCCATGGAAAATACAGAAGCAATTGAGGCACGTCCCCTCCTTCAAGGAATTTACTTATAATAAAGTTGGGGCCATAAACTAACACCTACAGGATGGATGTTAACAGCACAGAGGTGGCTGGGCACTGTGGCTCACGCCTATAATCCTAGCACTTTGGGAGGCCAAGGCGGGCGGATCACCTGAGGTCGAGAGTTCGAGACCAGCCTGACCAACACGGAGAAACCCCGTCTCTACTAAAAATACAAAATTAGCCAGGCACATGCCTGTAATCCCAGCTACTCGAGAGGCTGAGGCAGGAGAATTGCTTGAACCCGGGAGGCAGAGGTTGAGGTAAGCCGAGATCGCACCATTGCCCTCCACCCTAGGCAACATGAGCAAAAACTCCATCTCAAAAAGAAAAAAAAAAAAAACAGCACAGAGGTGAGTGTGCCAAGGGTGTGTGTAGTAAGACGCCCCAGTTCCACTGGAGCTGGTTGTCATGGGACTGCTTGTGTTGACGTGGCTACACTGAAAACTGGCTGTTTTCGGTCCCCACTCTTGCGTCACTGGATTGGTCAGTCAAGGAATAAGCCCCCCAGCTGTGGGGCTCTGCACGCCTGGGCCCAGGGGCAGAGTTAGTAGAGCAGATATTTGAGAGCCCAAGTCATTCCTCATAAGCAATGTTAGCCTTGCTGTCCCAGCCCTTGCTGGAAATGCCCACGAGGGTCAGAATGGGCAGACAGACTGGGCGTGGTGGCTCACACCTGTAATCCCAGCACTTAGGGAGGCAGAGGCGGAAGGTAGCTTGAGCCCAGGAGTTCAAAACCTGCCTGGTCAATATCTCAAGACCCCATTCTCCACAAAAAGGGGGAAAAAAAAGAATAGGCAGACAGATGCCAGGTAGGGGTGAGGAGTGGAGTTGGTCAACTCCCTCCCTCGCCAGTCATGGTTGGGGGTGGGGTGGGCAGCACACGGCTGGCTCCTTGACCCTGGCCTCCCACCAGGCTCACCCATTCTGTCTTTCCGCCTAGCAGGGTTGACTTTCTTTAGATGCCTCTTTAAGGCTCCAGGAACACAGAACTGCAGTTCTGTCCTTCACAGCTAAGTCAGCTTGGTCCACCTCACAACTGAGTCCCATACCCAGGCCTTTTGGGGCAGTCTCTCTAGCCCCAAGATTCCCCACATCTGCACCACTCATCTCAGAAAAAAGAACAGCTTGGAATTACATTAAATTATGTGTGTGGTGTCACATCATCCCCCATCCCAAATTAACTTGCGGGGCAAAGGAGTAGATACCGATCACCACTGAAGTCTCTGGCATTGTGCTAGAGCACTGGTTCTCCAAGTGTGGTCCAGGAACCCCTGGGGGAACCCCTGGGGGCTCCCCAAATCTTTTCAGAAGGTACACACAGTCAGAAGTGGGGTTTGTTGTTGGTGGTGGTGGTGTTATGAGACAGGGTCTCGCTCTGTCACCCAGGCTGGAGTGCCGTGGTGTGATCATGGCTCACTGCAGCCTTGACTTCCTGGGCTCAGGTGAGACCACAGGCACGTGCCACCACCCCTGGCTAATTTTTTGTACTTTTTGTAGAGACAGGGCCTTACTATGTTGCCCTCGAGGCTGGTCTCGAACTCCTGGACTCAAGTGATCCACCCAACCTGGCCTCCCAAAGTGCTGGATTATAGGCCTAGAACTGTTTTACTAATAATAAGGAAACATCATTTGCCTTTTTCACTCTCATTCTCTCATGAGTGTACAGTGGAGTTTTCCAGAGATTCACGGTGTGTGATATTACAACATACCAAATGCAGCAGTTGGAGGTATAAGAATCTACCTCTGCACAATTGTGTGAATATATTTATTTATTTTTTTGAGGCAGAGTTTCACTCTGTCGCCCAGGCTGGAGTGCAGTGGCGCAATCATGGTTCACTGCAGCCTTGACCTTCTGGTCTCAATTGATGAATATATTTAACACTATTGAACTATATGCTTAAAAATGGTTAAGATGGGCTGGGCACGGTGGCTCACGCCTGTAATCCCAGCACTTTGGGAGGCTGAGGCGGGTGGATCACGAGATCAGCAGATTGAGACCATCCTGGCTAACACGGTGAAACGCTGTCTCTACTAAAAATACAAAAAATTAGCCGCTCGTGGTGGTGGGCACCTATAGTCCCAGCTACTCGAGAGGTTGAGGCAGGAGAATCGCTTGAACCCAGGAGGCAGAGCTTGCAGTGAGCTGAGATCGCACCACTGCACTCCAGCCTGGGCGACAGAGTGAGACTCAGTCTCAAAAAAAAAAAAAAATGGTTAAGATGGTAATTTTATGTTATGTTTTTTAACATAATTTAAAATTGAAAAATCAAAAAATATTTGTAAAATAATGTAGAACAATGCCACTCTCCTCAATAATTTTTTTTGTTTTGAAAAATTATTTTTTGTACATATGTACATAATGAGATATTACTGTTATCTTAATTCCTGCTTTTTTTTCTTTTTTTGAGACTTACTCTGTCACCCAGGCTGGAGTGCAGTGTCGTGATCTCGGCTCACTGCAACCTCCGCCTCCCAGGTTCAAGTGATTCTCCTGCCTCAGCCTCCTGAGTAGCTGGGATTACAGGCATGTGCCACCATGCCCGGCTAATTTTTGTATTCTTCTTTTTTTTTTTTGAGATGGAGTTTTGCTCTTGTTGCCCAGCCTGGAGTGCCATGGTGAGATCTTGGCTCACCGCAACCTCCACCTCCCGGCTTCAAGCGATTCTCCTGCCTCAGCCTCCCAAGTAGCTGGGATTACAGGCGCCTGCCACCATGCCTGGGTAATTTTTGTATTTTTAGTAGAGACGGGGGTTTCTCCATGTTGGCCAGGCTGGTCTGGAACTCCCGACCTCAAGTGATCCACCCGCCTTGGCCTCCCAAAGTGCTGGGATTACAGGTTTGAACCACCGCGCCTGGCCTTAATTACTACTTTTAAAATGTCTGTTTGCCTTTCTAATATGGTAAATACCAGTAGCTATCATTCACCCACATCAACAAAGCTTCTTTGGGTGTCCTCAATAATTTCTAACAGTGTAAAGAGATCCTGAGATCAAAATGGTTGAGAACTGCTGCTTTCATGCGAAGGAATACAAGGTTGGGTGCAGCGACTCACGCCTGTAATCCCAGCACTCTGGGAGGATGAGGCGGGTGGATCACTTGAGGCCAGGAGTTCAAGACCACCCTGGGCTATATGGCGAAACCCCATCTCTACTAAAAATGCAAAAATTAGCTGAGCATGGTGGTATGTGCCTGTAATCCCAGCTATCTGGGAGGCTGAGGTGGGAGGATCCCTTGAGCCTAGGAGGTTGAGGCTGCAGTGAGTTGAGATCACACCACTGCTCTCTAGCCTGGGTGACACAGTAAGACTGTCTCCAAACAAAAAGAGAAGGAATACAGCAGGCAGGGGGTTGCCAGATAAAAGAAAGGATGTCCAGTTACATTTGAATTTCCGATAAACAATGAATTTTTTTTTAGTATAATATTACACAGGACATGCTTAACTAAAAAGTTATTCATTTTTTTTTTTGTTTTTTTTTTTTTTGAGACGGAGTCTTGCTCTTTTGCCCAGGCTGGAGTACAGTGGTACAGTCTCGGCTCACTACAACCTCCGTCTCCTGGGTTCAAGCAATTCTCCTGCCTCAGCCTACTGAGTAGCTGGGATTACAGGCGCACGCCACCACACGCGGCTAATTTTTGTATTTTTAGTAGAGATAGGGTTTCACCATGTTGATCAGGCTGGTCTCGAACTCCTGACCTCATGATCCGCCCACCTCAGCCTCCCAAAGTGCTGGGATTACAGGCATAAGCCACTGCCCCTGGCCTTCTATTCATTGTTTATCTGAAATTCAAATTTAAATGGGTGTTCTGTGTTCTGTATTTTTACTTGCAAAATATGGCAACCCTAATAGCAGGAGAGATTTGGGTTAGTCAACAGGATGAACTTGGATCAGATATTGGGATTCTGACCCAGGGAAGGATGGAGAATCCCCTATTCTGGACAGCTTTAAAAAAGGAGAATGTGGGCCAAGTGTGGTGGCTCATGCCTGTAATCCCAGCACTTTGGGAGGCCAAGGCAGGCGGATCACCTGAGGTCAGGAGTTCAAGACCAGCCTGACCAACATGGAGAAACCCCGTCTCTACTAAAAATACAAAATTAGCCGGGTGTCGTGGTGTATGCCTGTAATCCCAGCTACTTGGGAGGCTGAGGTAGGAGAATCGCTTGAACCCAGAGGGCGGAGGTTGCGGTGAGCTGAGATCACACCATTGCACTCCAGCGTGGGCAACAAGAGCAAAACTCTGTCTGGAAAAAAAAAAAAAAGAAAAAAAAGGAGAATGTGGCCAGGTGCGGTGGCTCACACCTATAATCCCAGCACTTTGGGAGGCTGAGGTCAGGAGTTCAAGACCAGCCTGGCCAACATGGAGAAATACTGCCTCTACTAAAAATACAAAAATTAGCCAGGTATGGTGGCACATGCCTGTAATCCCAGCTACTCAGGAAGCTGAGACAGGAGAATCACTTGAAGCTGGGAGGCAGAGGTTGCAGCGAGCCAAGATCGTGCCACTGCACTGCACTCCAGCCTGGGCAGCAGAGTGAGACTCTACCTCAAAAAAAAAAACAAAAAAAAAAAGCAAAAAAAAAGAAAGGTGAATGTGTCTGAGGACTGAAGGGCAAGCCTCTAAATGCTTAGGGGTAGAGTTTATAGTCAGAGGGACCTTCCTGCAGCTGGGCCAGAGACTCACCCACCCTCTAGAAACCTCAGCAGCTGAGGATGAACAAAACCCACAGGAAGTGGTGGAAGTGAAACTTGGTGTCAGTGTTGTTGTTATTAAAAGGGGGAAGTGACACCGGGTGAGTGAAGGGTGGGTGGAGGTGAAGTCTCTATAGGCAGCGAGGTCATTCGGCAGCGCCCCCCTTCCTGCTCTGCTAAGAATAGTTACGGTTGTGATAGGGGTGTGGTTTGTCTGAGGCTGGGGGAATGAATCTCGCTTGATGTCTGGATGGGGCAGAGCAGAAGTAGCACTGGGGTGGTCAGAGCTTCAAGTCAGGTGGCAGCAAAACCTAAGAAGCATTTTTGGGTTTGGAAATAAACAAATAAGTGGCCTCAGAAGCAGCTCAGAGGAGAAGGATCCTGCCTTCCAGCTAAGAGAACTATAAGAGGGAAGCAGGGCCCATGACCATGACAGTCCCTCCTCTAGTCAGCTTGGGAAGCTCTGAGAAGCTCTTTCCATTAAGAGAGTCAGGGATGCTCCAGAAATCAGGCTGGCAGGGAGGCTGCAGTGCGTTTTTGTCTCTAGCACTTACTGAGCACTTACTGTGTGCTTGACATTGTGCCAGGCCCTGAGGCTCCAGAATTAAATACAGTGTGGTTCCTGCGCTCCAGAGGTTGGAAGTCCAGTGGAAGAGATATGCATCAAACTAATATAAATTCATGAATTCATTGTGATCAGAGGTAATAGTTGAAAGCCCAAGCAGCAGCCTACCTACTGTGAGCCTGAGCCCACCCCTCAGCAACTCCCCAGCCCTGGCCCAGGCTGCAAACCAACAGAGGCCGGAGTCACCCAGCTGCCTGCAGAGCAGTGCATCAAGTCAGGACCCTTTCTCTGCCCAGACGTCTTTGCCAACTGTTTGGAACAAAGGGAAATCATCTGGTTTGGGGAAAGACATAAGAATGACCGTTTTCTTTCCTAAACCTTCACCCTCTCCCATTTCGGCCTGAGAAAAGCTGTTAGATGCTTCTTCAGAGGGTTTCTAAGGGCCACAATTGCCTTCCACCTAAGAGGGAACAGGGTGGGGAGGGGTGGCAATGGCCTTCTTTGACCGCAGAGGTTTTGGATTTAGCCTGAAGTCACAGAACAACTGAAGCCAAGAGACAGTTCACCCTTTCTGGTGTCTAGAGCTTATTGAACAAATGTCCATTGACCCCCTATTGCTAGGGGCAGGGGTGAAATATTGAGTTGAGTCCAGGGCTCCAGCCTACTAGAGGCACAGTCTGTAGAGAAGTCAGATAATGACCAGGCGGTGCCTAAGCTGGATCTGAATCCAGGGCCTTTAGTCATCAGACACTGGACAGATTCTTCGTGGAGGGAGTTGGGCCTTGAAGGCTGAAGAGTTTTCTGGGTCAAGTACATGTTTAGGGAGCAAGAATTCCTTGGAAACTTAAAAACTGGTCTCCCATGGTCAAGTCTGGCTCCTGTATGTGAACATCATACACACAGAACATGGCTCTGTATCCTGACTCCTATGCACCCCCGGCCACATTGTATACTCCTGCTTGTATGCTCCTGGCCAGTGAGGTGTCTGCAGTCTTGGGACAAGTGGTGGCCAGGGAGTCTTTGTCCCCTGGGTTCCTGGGGTTCAGGCTTCAGGTCTGGTTTCTGCCGTTGCCCCTCCTCTGGTTCCCTCCTTCTCACAAGACACAGCCTGACAACCTGGCCTTCTCTCTGCCTTCGTTAGGAGGGAGGCTGCTCAAACCACAGCTCACCACAGCTCACCACAGCTCACCACAGAGGCCAAGCTGGGTGTGCCTCTGTGGAGCAGCGGCAGGAGCCGGCTGAACACAGCCAGGACCAGTTTCCCCAGGGGCCAAATGCAACCTGTTCTCCATTGCATCTTCCCCACTGGTGGGCAAATTGTGTTGGGCTTCTGTGAGGCCCCATGAAGGTAAGAGAGTCTGGAGTGACTTTGCCCAGATTGGCTGTGTGACCTTGAGCAAGTCACTGGACCTCTCTGGGCCTTGACCTCCTTTATTCGATTATAATCCAGACCCTAGGGTCTATCCCAGCAATGTACGTGAACGTGTATTGTGAGTTGTCGAGCACAGCACTCGTGTGAGAGGTTATTACTTTATTACTTTGAATTTGCCCTGAGCCCCACAGTTTGAATAGGGAGGCTGCCTCAGAATTTATTTTTGAGTATCAGCTTCCAGATGGAAATTCCTAACCTGGGGTCTGAGGATGGTCTGCAGGGAGTCCTGGTGTCATATAGAGAATTTTTGAGTAGATGCGTTTTTCTTGGAAGAGGATGCAGAGTTTTCATCAGACCATTGAGGTCTGTTAAGAGCCACCATCTGAGCCCTAGGGCTCCCTCCATGGGGGGCAGGCAGAGGGGCCTCAAATCCTTGGTGGCCGTATTCATGAACCGAAGTGACCTGCTCAACAAGGACATGCCTATGTGGGTCTGAAAATACCGGCAAGCTAACAGAGCTCATGAGAACCACAGTGCCAGAGCCTGCGAGGTGAATTTCATTAGCACCCTCTGTGCTGGCCTGACCTTAGCTGGAGCACTGCGCTCTGTTCAAAACAACATGCTTTTTGTGGTTTTTTTTTTTTTTTGGTTGGTTAGTTTCGTTTTTTTAGAGATGGAGTCTCACTCTGTCGCGTAGGCTAGAGTACAGTGGCGTGATCACAGCTCACTGCAGCCTTGATCTCCCAGGCTCAAGAGCCTTGATCTCCCAGGCTCAAGCGATCTTCCCACCTCAGCCTCCCAAGTAGGTGGCCCATGTCTTCACGCCTGGCTTTTTTTTTTTTTTTGGTGAGAATCAGTAATTTTTTTTTTTTTTTTTAACTAGAGATGGGGTCTTGTCATCTTGCCCAGGCTGATCTCAAACTCCTGGACCCAACTGATGCTCCTCCCTCAGCCTCCACTTTGAGATTACAGGCGTGAGCCACTGCACCTGGACAAAGACATAATGTTTTAAGAAGAACTTGGGTAAATGGAAATGTTTCCAGAGGATACAGGCCAAGCTGTCAAAAGGTCTTAAATCCATGTCTTAGGAGAAATGACTGAAAGAACTAAGGGTATTTGGCTTGCGGCAAAGAATATAGGTTAGATGGGGATTGGAAGTGCGTTAACTTCTTGAAATACTGCCTAGTGGAGTCTACCCGGGAGGCAGATAGAAACTTAGCAAAAGGAAATACTTTCCAACAGGGAGCCCTGTCCCTCCTGGAATGGAATAGGACTTTCCTCTGCCTCACATACTTGGTTTTGCAGGAAGGAATAAATTGCAGACAGGATCCAAGCTCTATCTAAGAAAGGAACAAATAAATGACAATGACCACTTCCCTAGGGTTTGGGGAGACTGGGTGATGCCTTGTGGGTCAGGGCAGGGGAGTACAGGCTGGACTTGGGCCCCTGCAGCCTCTATCTCCTTCACAAAGGAGTCTGCTCTGTCTGCCTGGGTCTGCAGCTGTCAAACTCCTCCCTCTCCACTTCACAACCCTCTGATGTGGTGTTGCACAAGCAGGGGGGGAGCCAGGTTGGGTGAAGAGAGAGGAAGCTGGCGGCCCTGGGAGGCTGGGCTGCAGCTCCCTTGGAGGACAAGCTAAGCTGTCATGGGCCAGGCTGGAGGGGTGGGGAGGGGAAGATGGCTCACTGGTGAGTCATGGTGGCCATTGTCTGCTCCTGCTCCCTCTGGGGGAGGGCGACTGAAAGAGACAAGCCCTCTGGCCAGCTGGGCCTGTGAGGGCAGGTTTTCCACTCTTGTCCTCACAGCTCTGAGAGCAGCTGGGGTTTGGCTCCCTTACCCTGATTTCCCATCATGCAGCAAGGCAGGGCTGGTGGCTGACATTAGATGGATGTTGAGGGGAGGGTGTCCAACCCCGCTCACACCTTGCTAAGGGGCTCAGGATGGTCACACAGTGGATCCTAAAGGCCCAGGCTGGGGGAGAAGCTGTCCTGCCCTGTCTGGCATGGCAGACGATGCAGGCAGGCGTGCCCCTCTCTAGTGATCACACTGAACCTGAGCGGCACACCTTCCCCACCGCACCCTTCCTAAACCTCCTTCCAAACCTGCTCCCATCTAGCAGGCCTGTCCAGCACCCCACCCTCCCTCAGGGCCCCAGGGGAGCCTGCAGAGAGTGAGGTCACTCTGGATTGGTGCCTGGAGGCACCACCCTTGCCCCTCACCACAACCTGGTCTGGTCCGAGTGGCAGGGCCTCCATCCTGCCCCCTGTGAAGCCCAAGTTTGGGTCCCTGATAACTCCTAAGGCTGACGTCACAGAAGCACAGAATGACAGACTGTCAGGGTTATTGTATGTTGGGGAAACTGAGGTTCACAGAGGTCAGACACATGCAGCAGGGGTGCCCAGTCTGCAGTGGGCAGGTGGGGAAGGGAAGACTCCCTGGTGGGGGACTGCTGTGCTCCCAGGCCCTAGCAGGCCTCCAACTTGGGGACAGTCTGAGTTTGGGGCCACCTTACAGTTCCCCTGCCGCTGCCTCCGTTGCTGCTTCATTCTCGTTTGGGCAGAACAAAGGTGTTCCAGAGCTCAGGGGGTGAGGTGAGGAAAAGAGCTACCTTGTGTGGGCGGCTGTGTGGCTTTGGAGTCGACAGATGTAGGTTAGAGCCCGCATTCCTCAACCTTCTGGTGGCTGGACCCTGAGAGTTGCCTAGATCTCATTTCCCATCTGTGAAGTGACAGTAATAAGCATCTTACAATGCAAAATGCTTTGCATATGTCGTCTCATGTATCTTTGAAGAGGGACAGAATATGCCACACCAAAATATGCCATTTCAGCATAAGGGTTACTCTCACTTGAAAAACAGCTGATACAAAAGACAAACTCTGACCTCCTCCCTTTTCTCCCTGTCCCCGGGGGGAAAGAAACGTTTTTGTCACCAGAGATGAGGAGTTGAGGCTGAGGCAAATTTGTACAAAAGGATAAAATACCTCTTACCTTCCTTAGCGTCCCTAATCATCCTTTTCCACAGTCGCCTCTTTCTTTCCTTCTTTCTTTCTCTTCCTTTCTTTCTTTCTCTCTCTCTCTTTCTTTCTTTCCCTTCCTTCTTTCTTTCTTTCTTTCTTTCTTTCTTCTTCTTTTTTTTTTTTGAAACAGAATCCCGCTTTGTCACCCAGGCTGGAGTGCAGTGGCATGATCTCGACTCACTGCAACCTCCGCCTCCCAGGTTCAAGCAGTTCTCCTGCCTTAGCCTCCTGAGTAGCTGGGATTACAGGTGCATGCCATCACGCCTGGCTAATTTTTGTATTTTTAGTAGCGACGGGGTTTCACTATGTTGGCCAGGATGGTCTTGATCTCCTGACCTCATGATCCACCCACCTTGGCTTCCCAAAGTGCTGGGATTACAGGCGTGAGCCACCGCATCCAGCCTAACAGCCCTTTGTCTTCTAGTTGCTGAGATCATAGGGTGAGGTCCTTGGCCATGGTCAGGTGTACTGGGCACTGCTGGACAAGGGACACTTAAACGAGGTAACAGAAAGGACTTTCTGCTTTGGGAGGCCGAGGTGGGAAGATTGCTTGAGCCCAGGAGTTCAAGACCAGCCTGGGCAACATAGTGAACTTCATCTCTACAACGTAGTGAGACTTCATCTCTACAATAAAAAAACAATTAGCCGGGTGCATTAGTGGGTGTGGTCCCACCAGCTACTCGGGAGGCTGAGGTGGGAGGATCGCTTGAGCCCAGGAGCTCAAGCCTGCAGTAAGCTGAGATGGTGCCACTGCACTGCAGTGAGACCTTATCCCCCCCAAAAAAAAGACTTTCTGGCTGGAAGGCTAACGAGGCGCTGGGATGGGTGAAGTGTGTGATGATGGGTGTGTCATGGAGCCGAGAGAGCTCTGCCTGCTGATCCAGCTCGCCTCTGGCAGTTTGTTGCTCTGTACTCTTCCTCAGATCCTGACTTTATTTTGGCACTTACCAAGCTCTCTTGTCACTGACCTATTTTCATCTCTGTCTTTCCCGATAGATTTCAAGATGTTCACGCAGAGTCTGTCGAGCTCACCTCTGGATACCCCAGCTCCTACACGAAGCAAATGTTTCTTTTTTTATTTTTTGAGACAGTCTCACTGTGTTGCCCATGCTGGAGTGCAGTGTCCCAATCTTGGCTCACTGCAGCCTCCGCCTCCCGGGTTCAAGTGATTCTCCTGCCTCAGCCTTCTGAGTAGCTGGGACTTCAGGTGTGTGCCACCACACCTGGTTAAATTTTGTATTTTTAGTAGAGACGAGGTTTCACCATGTTGGCCAGGCTGGTCTGGAACTCCTGACCTCAGGTGACCCACCTGCCTTGACCTCCCAAAGTGCTGGGATTACAGGTGTGAGCCATTACGCCTGGCCCTGATGTTTCTTTCTTTTTTTCTTTTTTTTTGAGATGGAGTCTTACTCTGTCGCCCAGGCTGGGGTGCGGTGGCGCGACCTCAATTCACTGCAACCTCCACCTCCCGGATTCAAGTGATTCTCCTGCCTCAGCCCCCCACGTAGCTGGGATTACAGGCCAGCACCGCCACGCCTGGTTAATTTTTGTATTTTTAGTAGAGATGGGGTTTCACCAGTTGGCCAGGCTGGTCTTGAACTCCTGACCTACAGTGATCCACCCACCTCGGCCTCTTAAAGTGCTGGGATTACAGGCATGAACCACCATGCCTGGCCCAAGCCAACGTTTCTACAGGTTTGAAGAACAGAAGCGTGAACAGTTCCTTTGCAACCTCTCCCTGGCTTTTCGCTTTTGGGGTTAGAGTTAAGCTCCATGGCTGAAGGACCCAGACTTGAGAAAAAATACAAAGTCAACAGAATTTGGAGACATTTTGTCTTGCTTTCTGCCTCTTTGAAAGTGATTTTTTCCCTCAACTTCCCGAACTCCAACCTTCCCTTTCTCCTGAAAAGCAGGAGAGTGTTCAATGGGTTGTCACCCACACCAGGGGCACCTACATTTTTTTTTATTATTATACTTTAAGTTCTAGGGTACATGTGCACAATGTGCAGGTTTGTTACATATGTATACATGTGCCATGTTGGTGTGCTGAACCCATTAACTCGTCATTTACATTAGGTATATCTCCTAATGCTATCCCTCCCCCCTCCCCCCACCCCATGACAGGCCCTGGTGTGTGATGTTCCCCACCCTGTGTCCAAGTGTTCTCATTGTTCAGTTCCCACCTATGAGTAAGGTGTTTGGTTTTTTTTGTCCTTGCGATAGTTTGCTGAGAATGATGGTTTCCAGCTTCATCCATGTCCCTACAAAGGACATGAATTCATCCTTTTTTATGGCTGCATAGTATTCCACGGTGTATATGTGCCACATTTTCTTAATCCAGTCTATCACTGATGGACATGTGGGTTGGTTCCAAGTCTTTGCTGTTGTGAATAGAGGGGCACCTACATTTTTGTTGTTTGTTTGTTTGTTTGTTTGTTTGTTTGTTTTGAGACAGAACCTCCCTCTGTCGCCTAGGCTGAAGTGCAGTGGCATGATCTTGGCTCACTGTAACTTCTGCCTCCCAGGCTCAAGTGATCCACCACCTCTGCCTCCCAAGTATGTGGGACTACAGTCACGCGCCACCCTCCTCTGCTAATCTTTTATATTTTTTGTAGAGACAGGGTTTCGCCATGTTGCCCAAGCTGGTCTCAAACTCCTGGGCTGAAGCAATCCACTCACCTTGGCCTCCCAAGGTGCTGGGATTACAGGCATGAGCCACCATGCTGGGCCCATTTCTTTGGTTTTCTTTTTTTTGAGACATGGTCTTGCTCCGTCACCCAGTTTGGAATGTAGTGCCTGCAGCCTCGACTTCCACCTCCCACGCTCAAGCAAGTCTCCCACCTCAGACTCCCCAGTAGCTGGGACTACAGGCGTGAGCCACCATGTCCAGCTAACTTTTTAATTTTTTGGTAGAAACAGGGTCTCCCTATGTAGCTGGTCTCAAACTCCTGACCTCAAGTGATCTTCCTGCCTCGGTCTCCTGTGGTGGGACTACAGACGTGAGCCACCGCACCCAGCCACACCTGCATGTTACACGAAGAAGTAACGCCTAACCTGAATATGGCTTGTCACGCTTCAGTTACAGGCAGGAGCATTGTTGTCCAACCTGGGTTCATCCTGGGTGTGCTGTCCACTAGCTGTGTGTCCATGAGTGAGTTCCCTTCATCCTTCTGAGCCTCAGCTTGCTCATCTGTAAAATAGAGTCCAGTGACACCTTTCTGGCCATTCTCCAGGTTGCTGTGAGGATACAATGATTCAGTCCAGCACACAAGAAGCATTTGTGAGCTATAAGGGCCTGAACAGAAAAAGGGTTCATATTGCCATGACTTTGGGCCAGGGTGGGGCCTTCCCACACCCTCAAATCATACCAGAGTCGATGACAGCTGCTTTGCGTGGAAGCCACCTCCTTTTTAATCTTAAAGCTGACAAGCAGAGAGGGTAGCCCTGGTATCGCTTTCATCTTCAGCCTCACCCCTGGGGGAGGGTGACAGAGAGGCCAGGGAAGCCCAGTGGAGCCCAAATCTTGCTCCTGTCCTCACCTGGAGCTCCTCACTGGCCTGACCATCCAGCACTGAGGACCCCTCTGGTGGTCAGAACACAGGTCCCAGATCTGTCTTTTCTTTGCTCACTGCAACCTCCGCCTCCCGGGTTCATGCGATTCTCCTGCCTCAGCCTCCGGAGTAGCTGAGACCAAAGGCACGCGCCACCACGCCTAGCTAATTTTTGCATTTTTAGTAGAGATGGGGTTTTGCCATGTTGGCCAGGCTGGTCTTGAACTCCTGACCTCAGGTGATCCACCCGCCTCGGCCTCCCAAAGTGCTGGGATTACAGGCGTGAGCCACTGCACCCGGCCCCACACCTGTCTTTACTCTCCACCACCCTGACTCCATAAGCCTCCCCTCTACCATGTTGGGAACCTGCCCTTGAGTTGGCTTTGCACACAGACACCATCTTAGGTATTCCCACAGCCCCCAGGGCTTGGTCACTCATTAGCCATGTCAGTCTCTCCATCCTAAGTTCTTGATTTGTGTAGATATGGGGACACAAGAACTAGAGAGGTGATGTTACCTGCTCAGTGTCACACAGCACATCTAAGCATCAATCCCCAAATCCCCAGAATGCCAGATGGCTCCAGCTCTTCCTCAAGGGAATGCTTTTTCTTTCTCTTCTTTCTGAAAGCTTCCCTCTGGCTTCCCTTTGGCTTTCAATGGGTTGTCCCCATGCCAGGGGCACCTGCGTGGTTGTTGTGGTTTTGTGTTTCCCTTCCCTTTGGCTTTTTTTTTTCCTTGTTTTTTTGTTTTTTTTTTTTTGACAGAGTCTCGCTCTGCTGCCCAGGCTGAAGTGCAGTGGTGCAATCTTGGCTCACTGTAACCTCTGCCTCCTGGGTTCAAGCAATTCTCCTGCCTCAGCCTCCCGAGTGGCTGGGACTACAGGCACGCGCCACCACGCCCGGCTAATTTTAGTATTTTTAGTAGAGACAGGGTTTCACTATGTTGGCCAGGCTGGTCTTGAACTCCTGACCTCAAGATCCACCTGCCTTGGCCTTCCAAAGTACTGGGATTACAGGCACGAGCCACCGTGCCCAGCCACCTTTGGCTTTCAAGCATAGACAACCCCTTTGAAGCCCCCAAGCCTCAGAGTTCTGGGGTGGAGTTTCCTTCCCGCTCTGAAAGCCATCCTCATTCTCCTTCTCACTGCCACAGACTTAGAAGCCCCTTCCTCAGGTATCTTGCCCTCTGGGTTGTGGGCCAGGCAGTGCTAATGCCTGAAATAACTGCACAGCTACTCATGCCATGGATACCCTGTCTCCCACTCCAACCCCAGGACGTGACCAAAGCCATCATGCTATAGAACACGGTCCCTTTTTGCTTCTTATGCTTCCTCCAATGCTTGGAGAAACCTCCCCTAGCCCCCATCAGAAGGAAGCTCTACATCTTGTAAACCTTCCTGTCCCCGCCAGGCCCTATGGCAGCATTGATCTCTGCCTGCCCTTGTGTTGATGGTGTGTGTGTGCATGTGCGTGTGCGTGTGTGTGTTTGTGTGTGTCTGTCCCCACTAGCTCGTGAGCTCCATGACAGCAGAGACCATGTCTTGCTCCTCTGTGTCTCCAGTGCCTGTCACAGAGCCGGAGCTCAAAACCATGTTTCTTGAATTTAATTGAACCTAAAGCTGGGTGGTTTGGGGGTCACAAACCTGGACTCCATGGCTGCCAAACCATGATAAGAGCTTCAAGACCAACAGAGGAGAAAATGAAGAAGAAGGAAGGGAACCCCTCCTTGGCCTTTTCCTTCTCAGAAGTCGGAATCCCATCACTCAGGTCTTCCCACCCTTGGCCTGGCCAGGCCAGGCCACACTTGGCTGAGAAGCTCGAGAGGAGGATGCCGGTCAGAGAGACATCAGGTCTGTGTTGGTGACTTGTCTCTTGCATGAGTTCATTTAATGACCAGTTTCATGGGAAATCCTCTCTTCTCCATCTCCACGCTCAGTATGGGTGACTGGGGCTGACCCCAACTAGAAAAAGGACAGAGGGACCCCAGTTAAGTAATAGCTGGAGACAGCGCCAGGTAGGAGTGGATGGTTTCTTAACTAGGGTGGTACGGAGAGGACTCACTCTTCCTACAGGAGAGCAAAGAACAGAGCCCCAGACCAGCCAGAGAAACACTCAGATCTTTCTAAAGTGTTTACTTGAGACTTATCTTCAGGGAGCTGAGATCACAGCAAGAATAACCAAAGTGGCCGGGCGCAGTGGCTCATGCCTGTAATCCCAGCACTTTGGGAGGCTGAGGCAGGTGGATCACCTGAGGTCACGAGTTCGAGACCAGCCTGGACAATATGGTAAAACCCAGTCTCTACTAAAAATACAAAAATGAGGCTGGGTGCAGTGGCTCACACCTGTAATCCCAGCACTTTGGGAGGCTGAGGTGGGCAGATCACCTGAGGTTGGGAGTTCGAGACCAACCTGACCAACATGGAGAAACCCCATTTCTACTAAAAATACCAAATTAGTATTACAGGCATGGTGGCGCATGCCTGTAATCCCAGCTACTTGGGAGGCTGAGGCAGGAGAATCACTTGAACCTGGGAGGCGGAGGTTACGGTGAGCCAAGATCATTCCATTTCACTCCAGCTTGGGCAACAAGAGCAAAACTCCGTCTCAAAAAAACAAAACAAACAAACAAACAAAAAACAAATTAGCTGGGCATGGTAGCACACACCTGTAGTCCCAGCTGCTCAGGAGGCTGAGGCAGGAGAATAGCTTGAACCCAGGAGGTGGAGGTTGCAGTGAGCCAAGATCGTGCCACTGCCCTCCAGCTTGGGCGACAGAGCAAGACTTTGTCTCAAAAAAAAAAAAAAAAAATCAAAGTAAGGCAACAAGAGAGGGATAAAAGACTACAAATAGGGTACAGTGCACACTGCTTGGGTGATGGGTGCACCAAAATCTCACAAATCCCCACTAAAGAACTTACTCATGTAACCAAACACCACCTGTTCCCCAATAACCTATGGAAAAAAAATTATAACAACTACTTAATGCCAGATACATGCTGAGAAAATTAAACTGAAATAATTTGTTTCACTTAAAAACAAAACAAAACAAAAAAACACAGTAAGGGCAACAAGAGAACCTTCAGCTGAGGCTGGCAGGGCGCCGAGACTGGGCACCCAGACCTCTCAGGATCACCTCTGGGGCTTTTGGAATCAGAGCCAGCTTAGTGGATGGCTGCCTGGAGGCAGGCGCATGGCTGAGGTGGCACCGCTGGGCCCAGGATGCTTCATCCGGACAGTCGAGCCTTGGGGTATGGGGGGACCAAGGCGGGAGTGCTCTCCTGGGAGGCCCTGTGTCTGGCGGGCATCGCTGCTGTCACCACCCCGACTGCTCTTCTGGCTGAGTGACTCAGGACCTGCCAGCAGGCCCAAATGTGCTGGGACAAGTCTCAGCCTCCCCTCCTTCCCCACATGCCTCCCCGCAGCCTAGTGGGGACCAAGCTTCCTCCTTCCATCTGCATCTGGAGTTTGGCTGCAAGCCGTCAGGCCCATGGGTCACTGCTGGCTGCTTTCCCAAGCCCTGCCCAGCCCTGTCCCTGGGCAGATCAAAGCCCTCCCTGGGGGCCCCAGATGGCTGGCAGCATTCTAACAGGTCATTCCCCTAGAGTGAGATCCTGGGGTGTCATGGGGCAGGCACTCATAGCTGACACCTACGAGCCTCACCGGTGTCCTAACAGTTGGGCAGCACGGATATGATTATCCCCATGTTTCAGCTGGGGAAACTGAGGCCCACAACCTCCACAGTCTCAACTCAAAAGCAGGCATCTTGATTCCTGCTCTCCTTCCTAGACCCCACACCCAGGACCATGGGCTGGAGGCGGGAGGGACCCACAGACTGATACACTTGTGGAGCTGGGGTGTTGGCAGCCATCTTGGGTCAAATAGGCTGAATCCAGTCCTCTCTCAAGCTGGGGCTTGGCCTCTTGGGACTGGACCAGCTTTGTCTACCAGACCGAGGGGAGAGGCTGCTGGGAATAAGCAGGCTCTGGGTTCCCAGGGAAGAGGAACCCTAAGGACCTCTATTAGGTTTTCCAGAATCAGAGGCTGAGGCTCACTTAGCCACCCTTGGCCTTGTATGTTCCTGTGGGGTCGGCCTTAGACTTCCCTGAAGAGTTCTTCTGCATCTTAATATCTTACAGGCTCAGGAAAGAGGAGCAGTAATAAGTCCAGTCTCGGGTTAATCCATCATATTCTAGGCCTTGTGCTTAAGTCTTGACCTGCAGAATGTCAAGTCTCCTGCACCCAAGCCTGTGAGCCAGTGCCATGTCATCTCCATTCCTCCTGGAAGATGAGGAGATTGGGCTGAGAGCAGCTGGAACCCTGTCCAAGGTGAGTGGCAGCACTGGGGTTTGAGCCTAGGTCTGCTGGCTCCTTAATATTGGGATCCAGACTTGACTTAAGGGCCCTGGCTTTGAAAGGGAAATTGAACCTGCCATGAAGATCCCTCCAGGTGCCCAGGCTGCAGCTCCCCTCCTCTCCCACCCTGTGGCCCCAAGTCTTTCCTCCTCCCTTCCCTCCCTCCATAGCTCAGAACCACTCCAGAGTAACCTGTGCTGGCAGGGGTTAAGTCACCTCCTGCTGGCCTGTGCTGTCTGCCTGCTTTGCTGTTTGCCAGGGCTGCACCTGTTGTAGCCCTACAGTTTTGATGAGGTTGGCAGGGAGTGCCAGCTCTGCACGGGCATGGTAAACATGCCACCTGCCTGCTCAGTGCTGCTGGAGCAGTAACGTGCCAACTTCAACATGAATTCTTAGCTACTCCCTCTGTAGTGGACCCAGGCTGAGGGGAGCATACCAGCCTGGCTGAGACCTCCGGACCCTCAGGTGAGGGGCTGGGACCTGCATGACAGATGCTCTGGGAAGGACCTGCCTGTTGGCCCTGCATTCTGAAGAACGGTCCCCAGCAAAGGAGGCCAGGTTGAAGTGGGGGCAATGCACTCCCTTTTTTCCTTCTTTTTTTTTGTTTTTTTATTTGAGACAGAGTTTCACTCTTGTCGCCCAGGCTGGAGTGCAATGGCACACTCTTGGCTCACTGCAACCTCCGCCTCCCAGGTTCAAGTGATTCTCCTGCCTCAGCATCCCAAGTAGCTGGGATTATAGGCATGTGCCACCACGCCCGGCTAATTTTGTATTTTAAGTAGAGATGGGGTTTCACCATGTTGGTCAGGCTGGTCTCGAACTTCTGACCTCCGGTGATCCACCCACCTTGGCCTCCCAAAGTGTTGGGATTACAGGCGTAAGCCATCATGCCGGGCCGCACCCCCTTTTTTCTAAAGGGCGAGAAGGCTCAAACACAAACAAGGAAGCATCAGTGACCATCAGAGTCCCAGACAGGCAGGGCTTTATTAGACACGTTGTCATGATAAGGCAAACACAGGCTGGTGTTCTGTCCTTTTTGCAGATGACCCTGTGTAGCTGGGGCTGGTCTTCCCCCACCTCCTCTGTTCGCTGTCAGTCTCAGGATCAGCTGAGCATGGCCGCCACCCTCCCTCCCTTTTTCCTCCTCCCTTTCAGTGTGGGCTGTTGTTGGCAGTGACATTTAATTCAGGGAAGGCACCTGACCTTGGGGAGGAATGTGGGAAATGTCTGCAGCCTGGGGCAGCCACCCCCCACCTGGGGCCCAGGAATGTGGGCTCTAGGACACCTGTGGCCCCCAAGGGAGGTGAGTGTAGGGTCCAGGAATGACACTGTTGGAAGGCCCCGGCAAGGTCACCTAGTGAAACTCTTACATTGTGCAGAGGGTGAGGATGAGCCACCAATGCCACCCCCCGTGGCACCAGCACAGCCTTCTCTCCAATCTGGTGACAGCACTGTCTCTGACTCTTGTTGTCTCCTCAAGCCTGAGGCCACAAGTACAGCGGCAACTTCTGATTTGTCAGACCCACAGAACTGCAGAATGTCCAAGCCCTTCGAAGTGAGCTGCTGCACATCCTCTACCGCTGATGTGGAGACTGAGGTGCAGAGAGATGTGAGTTGGCTGCCATCTACTCACTATGGGCCAGGACCCAGGTCTCTGGGGTGGGTGCATTTCCCACCATCCCTCCTGTTCCAGATGCTGGAAGTCAGCATCTTTTCATCCCAGCAGGGAGATTCAGGTGGCCTCTCCTAAACCCCCACAGGGTTACTGCTGGGAGTGCAGTGCCATCTAGGGTGCCCATCTGTGTGAACTGCCGGGAGTGGGTGCTGCAGCCACAGAGGGCCTGGTCACTACACTCAAGCCCATGCTCCAGCACCTGGAGAGCAGGTGCTCTGTGCTCTGGCTGACGGCTCTGAGAAAACCAAGCTAACTCCAGCAGCTGCCTTCTTTGGGGCTGCACCGGGAGAAAGTGTTAGCGTAAGGACTCTGCTGCCCTCTCGTGGCCTCACTTGGGTATGGCTGCTGCCATTCAGGCCGCTGGTGGCTCACCTGCTCCGAGCTATGGAAATCTCTCTCCTAATTGCCTTTGCCTGGACTCTAAGAGGCCTGGATGGGGTGGATATCATCCCTTCTATCATACCGCTTAGGCCATGCCTTGTTCCTTGTCGGATTCTGGAGGAAGAGGGCCTCAGGTCAACAGGAGAGGCCTAGCCTGTGTTACCCAGAATGCTTGGGTGTGGGGAGAGACGTGGTGGTTCCCACAGACACAACCTAATCAACCAACACCAGACAGGATGGTTTGAAAATTTAGAGGATATTTATTTCTCAGGAAGGTGCACAACAGCTGGCAGGCACTGCTTTCCCTGCTCTAGGGGATTCCTCTCTCCTTTTCCAAGAAATCCCCTCTCTTCTTAGAAGTGCCCATGGGAGGCTGGGATGTGAAAAGAAACCATACACAACACTCCAGAGCCTTAAAAAAATAAAGCAACAACCTCCTCCACACGAATACACTTACAAAATAAATAGACGGATAAAAGAGAGGCCACGTGCCTCCCATCCCGGCTGTAGGGCTGCTTGGGGATAGTGGGGCTGGGTGGCTCGGTCCCACTTCTCCCAGCCAGGATGATCCAAAGGCTAAATGGAATGGAAGGGCCCTGGCTTCAGAGAGAGGATGGGGCAGGACCTCTCCTGGTACTCAGCAGGGAAGACACTGGGGGCACGGGTAGGGAACAAAGGAACAAATAAATAAATAAATAGAACCCAACAGCACTCTCAGAGGCCTAAGGGCTTAGGGTGAGGCTCAGGGGGGCCCTGGGGCCTGTTTCCCTGAAAATAACAGATCCAGTACAGGCAGAAAGAACAGAAGGGAAAACACAGGCCACACCCACCTGGCCTGCAGAGCCCAGCCCCAGAAGGAGGCCTCAAATCAGCTCTACAGGGAGGAGGGGTGGGGTGGGGATGCTGAGCTCCACACTAGCTGCTCTGAGCCTGCTCTCTGGCCCTGGAGGTGCCCGAAGGCTAGGGACCCTCCCATCCCTGTGTTCTCTGCGGCCAGCAGAGCCTCCTCCCTCACTCTCCAGCCTTCATCCTCACCATCTCCACCAGAGAAAACCGTAGCTATCTCCGAGGTGGGCTCTTTCCTAGGAAAGTTGAGGCAGAGCCCTCTCCTCCTATTCTTAATGGTCTTCCTGACTTGGGGCATCCTGAGGGTCAGCTGGGAGAAGTCCTTGTGTAACTATAAATAATCAAAACAATCCAACCCCATGTCCACCTCTGCTCCACTTGGCCACAGGTGCCCGCACTATCTCCAGGTAGGGCTGCATTCTAAGCTCCCTTCAGGCCAACAGGGAGAAGGTGTCAGACAGAAGCAAGTACAGAGAAGGGGGCAGGAGCTGCTGGAATGGACAGTTTGGGCAGGAGGCCAAACTGGACACACAAAGAAGTCCAAGGGTCCCTCCTGGAGAAGTGTGGCCAGCTGGGGGCCAGAGAGCACAGGGTTGGTGTGGCTGGCCACTCAGCTGGGCAGCAACACGTGCTCCAGGAGGTAGGTGAGGGAGTCCCAGTGCTTCCAGAGGAGGAACAGGACGAGGACCAGGAGGGTGGTGCTGGTGATGCGCAGGCGTGTCTTCATGAGGGGCGTGATGAAGTTGGCGATGGTGGACACGAACACCAGCAGCACGGCCATGAGCGCCAGGATCACGTTGATGAACTTGCCCAGCAGCGCCCGCGCGTTGGCATTCTCCACGCCCTCCAGCTGTACCACCTGCTGCTGTTGCTGCTGCAGCTCCAGCTTGGTGACCCGGGTCAGGCAGGACTCCACGGCCTCCTGCAGGGGCAGAGGGGCTGGCATGTGTGCGCTCAGGATGGGCAGGACCCCTAGGCTGAAAACCTACCTACCCCACTGAGAAGGTGCCTATAACGAAGTCTCCTCTCCAAAGGCCAGGAGGAGTGGAGGTTGACCAGCTGCAACTGGGGTCAGAGACCTTTAAGGATGACTCTTTGGGGAGGATGCTAGGAAATGAGAGTCTTGATTACTAGGGAAGGAAAAGAGCTGGCCCAATCCCAGCTGGCTCCCTCTTGAGGCAGGCTGGAGCCTGGAAACTCCAAATACTCATTTGCGAAGCTGCCATCAAAGAGGTGGGGGGCATGGTGGCCTCTGCCCTGTGGGCTTGCCTCTGCACAGTGCACGCTGTCAGCCTCAGGCCTGTCTTGCTCACTCCACTCCGCTCCCGCTACGCTGCCCTCTTCATCCATGTGCCTATCGGCCCCGGCCAACAGGCCAGCCTGTGTCTATCATGCCCCACGTGACAAGAACCCTAACCCTCTGGCTGCTGCCAGCTCTACCAGCACATCTGGGGCCTCCCAAGGTTGCCCTGGCCATACCTGGATGTCCCGTGCCCTCTCATAGGACTGGTAGGCCACCTTCTCCTCCATGCTGGCCAGCTCCTGCTTCAGGTTCGTCATCTCGTTCTGATGAAGCTCAGTCAGGTCGTTGAGCTGCTCCTCCAGCCGCTCGTACCTGGCGGAGGGAGAGAGAGTGACACCAGTCCTGGCTCCCCGAGCTTCCACTCTCTCCCACAGTTGATTCATTCATTCTCTCAATAAACAATGACTCAGCCCATCCCCCGTGTCCAGCTCTGCTCTGTTCTAATTTTAACAGCAACAACAATAGAAGCTACTATTTACACAGCACTTCTTAGGTGTAGGCACTGTGCTAAGCATTTTACCTACATGACCTCATAGGATCCTCCCCACAATCCCATGAGATAGGTGCCAGTGTCATCTCCATTTTACAGAGGAGAAGACTGAGGCGTGGAGGCTGAGGAGCCTGCCTAGGATCACGCAGCTCATGAATGGAGGAGTTAAGGATTGGCTGACTTCAACCTGGGCTCTTAAGCCCTAGGCTCAGATGCTCTCTGGGTACCAGGGACACATGGGTGTAGAGGACACAATCCCGGCTCTGAAGGCACAAAATAGCGTAAGATGACTGTTATGTGAGGAGTGGTTAGCTTTTAGGTGGGGCTCCCCTTCAATTTTCCAAGCCTTCTTTATATATATGGAGAAGAAAAAGAGAAAGTGCTAGCTAAGGAAAAGATCCCCCCACAAGCCCAGGGAGCGAGCGGCAAGTGCTGCAGAGGCACAGAGCCAAGGGCAGAAAAGGGCAGCACAGGACCGGAGGGAGACACAGAAGGAGAGGCCGAGAGATGTCAGCTCTGTTCCAGGCTGGCCCCAGGAGCTCCGACTGGAGGTTCATGTTTTGGAAGCTATACATCCATTCACATGCTTCGACTTTACAGGTCTGGACTCATTGTATCTTTATGACCCTATGAAGAAGGAATTAATGTCATCCCTGAATTGAGGTCAGGAGATCGAGACCAGCCTGGCCAACATGGTGAAACGCTGTCGCTACTAAAAATACAAAAAATTAGCGGGGTGTAGTGGTGCGTGCCTGTAATCCCAGCTACTCAGGAGGCCGAGGCAGGAGAATCGCTTGAACCCAGGAGGCAGAGGTTACAGTGAGCTGAGATCGTGCCACTGCACTCCAGCCTGGGCGACAGAGAGACACTCCGCCTCCAAAAAATACAGAAGGAAAAAAGAAAGAAGGCTCCTTAGGGCCTCGTGCTGGCTCCTTCCAGCAGCCAGGAGGCTGAGGATGCTCCTCTGACTGCCTCCACACCCTGGGTCTGAAACCCAGTGCTCCTTGCCTCATCCCACGTCCGGCTGGGCTGCAGGAGGGGGTGGGCAGGCACCTACCTGTAGCGCTCCTCCTGCAGGCACTGGGTCATGTAGGTGTAGTCCCTCTGCAGCTGAGTCTTCAGGTCTTCCATGGAGTCCTCCAGGTGAGACTGTCCCTCCTTGATCTCCCGTAGCTCTTCCAGCAGAGCATCCAGGTTTCCAGGAGCACCATACAGTGCATTGGACTTAGGGCTCCCCAGCGCCCCACCAGGCCCAGCCCCAGAGTTGCTGCCTGCCCCGGCTGAGCTGGCGCTGGCGCTGGAGCACTCATCATCGCTGCCATACTTGGGGCTGGAGACGAGTGTGGCACTGCCGCTCAGTGCCCGGGCTGCCTCCTCAGGGGGCCCATCTTCCAGGGGGTCCTTCAGGTGGGCGATGTTGTCAGCACTGCCAAACTTGTTGCGGATGAGGCTGGCAAACTCCCGGGGCTTGGACACCACGGCGGTGTGGGTGGCCTGTGAGAGGCCAGAGAGGCTGCCCTTGACGCCCTCCACCACGCCGCCCCCAAAGCCGCTGATGCCTGCGCGCACGTTGGCGCCCACGTCCTTCAGCCCCTGCTGCATGTCCCGCAGCACGTCCTTGGGCTGCCGCGAGGGCCCGTTCTGCTCAATCTCCTTCAGGCGCCGGCGGTAGTGCTCCAGCTTCTTGTGCAGCTGGGCGATGGTCTGGGCTGACTTCTGGTTCTTCTTCTCGAACACTTGCTTGATGCGTGACACCTGCTGCTTGTCCGCGTTGTTGGCCAGTTTCAGATACTCTGCCACATTGTCGTCGCGAGCCTCCTGCTCAATCTTGATCTGCTCGGTGATCTTCAGGATCTTCTGGTGCAGGTGGTCAATGGCGGCCTTGGTCCGCTGGGGGTCCGGTGCCCCATCGGGCACGTCCAGGCTGATGGGGCCGTCGGTGTCACCATGGCCGGCGGGGAGGCTCAGGGCCACCAGGTCTCCCTTATCGACCTGGGGAAAGAGGCAGGCAGAGGAAGCATGGGTAAACCCTGGGACCATAGGAGTGCCCCTGGATGCCTCTGGACTTGGTTTTTCTATCTAGAAAATGGATGCAGGAGTCCAAAAGAAGACAACCACCACAAGAGCAGTATCCCTGACAGCCACTTACACAGGGCTTTCACATCTGCTCTCTACCCCGTCCCCACAGCATCCCCAAAATGCAGTCTAGGCAGAGCTGCTCCTCTTTTGGCCCAGAAAGGTCAAACAAGTTGTTCAGGGACACACGGCCAGGAAGGGACAGAACCTCCAGCCCAGAACTCTTTTATTTATTTGTTTGTTTATCTATTTGAGACACAGTCTCGCTCTGTTGCCCAGGCTGGACTGCAGTAGCGTAATCTCAGCTCACTGCACCTTCCACCTCCCTGGTTCAAGGGATTCTCCTGCCTCTGCCTCCCGAGAAGCCAGTATTACAGGCACCCACCACCATGCCTGGCTAATTTTTGTATTTTCAGTAGAGATGGGGTTTCACCGTGTTGGCCAGGCTGGTCTCGAACTCCTGACCTCAAGTGATCTGCCTGCCTTGGCCTCCCAAAGTGCTGGGATTACAGGTGTGAGCCACTACGCCTGGCCCCAGCCCAGAGCTCTTAAAGCTCCAGCACATGGACCAGGCAGGTCTGAGGCCTCACTGGAGTCATGGGGTTGGATTTCTGAGGAATGAGACAAATTTTCTCTCTGGACTCAACCACTTCATAAGGCTCCTGCCTTGAGCAGGCCTCTCCCTCAGGGCTGACCGCCTACACTTTGTGCCCTGCCTGCCTGCCCTCGCCACCCCATGTTCACTAACAACGCAGCTCAGCGGGCCACCCTGCCTCTGCTGACACCTCTCCCAGGCCCTCCATTACCTTACGGCTCTCCAGAGTCATTGGTAACCTTTTCCGCTTCATAATGGTGGAAGCCCCCAGTCCTTCCTAGTATCCGAGAATTGGGAGAGGAGCATGCCCCACCCCCACCCTGCTGGCCAGGTCCCCGAGGACTAAAGCCCCAGAAGTAACTCAAAGGCCAAGGGAAGCAGGGACCAGTTTGGGGGCCTGAGGCTACTAGCCGCCCAGCTTTGCAGAGGGTGAATGCGTAGGAAGGAAATGACAGCCCCCTTCACTCCCCACCAGGCGGGCAGGCTTCCCGAGTGCATCAGGGTGGCACCAAAGTCGGAGAGACAAGGAAAGGAGAAGAGAGACTAAGAAAGGATGATGGGGAGGGAGAGAAAGGAGGAAAAGGTCACAGGAGATAGGAAAGATGGGAAATGTAAGGTGGGCTGAAAGCGGGGAGGCCTGAGACCTGCTCCCCTGGTGCCTGGTTCCTCTCAGCCTGTTGGAGGATCTTTCTGTCCACAGCTGAGTCCCCAGTGTCTTATCGCCATACAACAACGGAAGCAGCAGGAAATGGCTCAACCCCATGTATTTTTACACACAGCACACCCCAAGCAAGGCTGGGTCAGATCATTTGCCCTTAGTATGTATGGGAGGGGGCAGGGGTGTGGTCAGATATATGTGGGGGAAGGGGTTAAACACAAAGATAGTGGCCCAGTCACATGCACCAGAACTGGAAACAGTCCCTGCCAATTACAGGCATAAGTCACTTGGCTTGATTCTGCCAAGGTGCAAAGTTATTGGAAAACACGATTGAAAATAATAGCCCTGCCAAACTCAGGAGCCAGGGGAGGGCGGCTCCTCTGTGGGCTTCCACTGGGGCTTTTCCAGGTTACACTTCCCCCTGGGGATGCTGTGGACAACCACAACCCCATCCCTAATCACTCCTGAAGTCAGGACTTCCCTCTTATGTTTGCTTTGGGTCTCCCCTCATCCCCCCTTGACCTCCCAGCAGGTGCTCATACCTTCAGGACTCTGCTTCTCAGAATTTCTGACCTTTCATACCCACAGTCTCCCTTAAGTGATCTGCTCCAAGGTCTTAACTGTCCCAGTAGCCTGACTTAAAACCCTAACCTGCAATTAGGCTGCTTCTTCCTGCCTTGTTCCCTGCAGTGACAGCAAAAAGCCCATCTCTCCATTTTCCTGACCTTCAGTGTCCTCGCCGACAAAAAGCGGGTAATCACAGCTACTCTCAGGTCTTTTGTGAGAGCTATACAAGATGACGTCTGGCAAGCTGGCATAGTGCGAAGCATACAGAAGGTGCTCATTAAACGCTGAATCTGAATCTAGGCAGCGTAATCCCTTTTTTCCCCTGGGAGAAAAAATGCCTGCAATCAAGCTGGCCTAAATTTATTTCAGAAATTATACCAACAAATTTACTCTGTATTGCTAGAACTACACAAAATTAACGGTTTTTTTTTTTTTATTTGTTTTTTGTTTTTTTTTGGAGACGGGGTCTCTGTCGCCCAGGCTGGAATGCAGTGGGGCCATCTCAGCTCACTGCAACCTATGCCTCCTGGGTTCAAGTGATTCTCCTGCCTCAGCTTCCTGAGTAGCTGGGATTACAGGCATGAGCCGCCACGCCCGGCTAATTTTTTTGTATTTTTAGTAGAAATGGAGTTTCGCCATGTTGGCCAGACTGCTCTTCAACTCCTCATCTCAGGGGATCCACCCGCCTCAGCCTCCCAAAGTGCTGGGATTACAAGCATGAGTCACCGCGCCCGGCCCAAAATTATGTTTTATAGGCAACACATGGCCTTTGATGTTACAGAACTTTTTTTTTTTTTTTTTTTTTGAGACAGAGTCTCGCTCTGTCGCCCAGGCTGCAGTGCAGTGGCGCAATCTTGGCTCACTGCAAGCTCCGCCTCCGGGGTTCACGCCATTCTCCTGCCTCGGCCTCCCGAGTAGCTGGGACTACAGGCGCCTGCCACCATGCCCGGCTAATTTTTTGTATTTTTAGTAGAGATGGGGTTTCACCGTGTTAGCCAGGATGGTCGCGATCTCCTGACCTCATGATCCGCCCGCCTCAGCCTCCCAAAGTGCTGGGATTACAGGCTTGAGCCACCACGCCCAGCCCAGAACCTGTCTCTCTTATAAAGCTGCTGCCCTTTCCACAGATGCCCAGCTCTCTTTCACTGTCTTCTTGGGAGAAAGAATATCTAGAAAATGGGTTCTGGGGCCAGGTGCAGTGCCTCATGCCTGTAATCCCAGCACTTTGGGAGGCTGAGGCGGGTGGATCATGAGGTCAGGGGTTCGAGACCAGCCTAACCAACATGGTGAAACCCTGTCTCTACTAAAAATACAAAAATTAGCTGGGCGTGGTGGCGGACGCCTGTAATCCCAGCTACTGAGGAGGCTGAGGCAGGAGAATTTCTTGAACTGGGAGGCAGAGGTTGCAGTGAGCCGAGATCACGCCACTGCACACCAGCCTGGGCGACAGAGCGAGACTCCGTCTCAAAAAAAAAAAAAAAAGAAAAGAAAATGGGTTCTGAGTCTGGCTGCATCACTGCCATTTGCTCATCTTTGTAACAGGGACAGAGTCTGTCCCAACTACTTAGGGGGAGAGTGGGAGGAGCTAATAAGAAATGGATGTGAAATGCTGTGAAAAGCAAAAGTGTTTTAGGACTATACAGGAGTGTAAAATAGCAAAGTCTCCACCTGCCGTGGCTCCTTCCTAGCAGCTTGGCTCTCTCCTCCCTTGATTTGGCATCTTTCTGGCTTACAAATGGAAAAGCGGAGTTGAAGCTGGCTGTGAAATCCCCATTAATGAGAGGAGAAGAAACACTCCTGGGAAAAACAGCTGGGGCCTGATGGTGGGTGCAGAGGCCTGGGCTGAAGCCCTGGCCCCCTCGTCCACCCCTCTTCTCTACCCTAGGACCCAGACTTGAGCCTAACAGTCCTGCAGCAGGACACCAGCTCCTTCCGTCCCTCCACAGAGGCCTGGACACCTCCTTGGTGACATGAAGGTCTGCAATGCCTGGATTGAGCGGGTCAGTCTCCAGTCACAGAACATATCCCCATTTTATTCTCTTCCCTGTGGAGGACTCAGTTCCACTGGCTTCCAGAAAGGTGGCATATTTTCCCTATGGCCTCTGGGCTCTTCTCTTTTTCTCAAATTCTAAATGTTTTGGACAAAGGATAAGGATAACAATTATAGTTAGCCTTCTGTATCTGAGAATTCCACATCCATGGATTCAACCAACCATGGATTAAAATAATAATAATACAAATTTTAAAATACAGGGGCCAGGCGCAGTGGCTCACACCTGTAATCCCAGCACTTTGGGAGGCCAAGGCGGGCGGATCACCTGAGGTTAGGAGTTGGAGACCAGCCTGGCCAACATGGTGAAACCCTGTCTCTACTAACAATACAAAAATTAGCTGGGTGTGGGATGTGGTGGCGGGCACCCGTAGTCCCAGCTACTCGGGAGGCTGAGGCGGGAGAATGGCGCGAACCTGGGAGGCGGAGCTTGCAGTGAACCGAGATCACGCCACTGCACTGCAGCCTGGGCAACAGAGCGAGACTCCGTCCCAAAAAAAAAAAACAAAATTAACTGAGTGTGGTGGCATGTTCCGGTTGTTCCAGCTACTCAGGAGGCTGAGGCAGAAGAATCACTTGAACCTGGGAGGCGGAAGTTGCAGTGAGCCAAGACTGCACCACTGCACTCCAGCCTGGGTGACAGAGACTCCGTCTCAAAAACAAAAACAAAAAACAAAAAACAAGAAACAACAGTGTCACACTATTTTCTATTTTCATAGTATTTACATTGTACTAGGTATTGTACGTAATCTAGAGATGATTTAAAGGGAGGATGTGTGCAGGTTCTATGCAAATACTACACTATTTACTGTATGAGACTTAAGCAATCTGGAACTTTGGTATCTGCAGGGGGTCTTGGAACCAATCTCCTTCAAACACTAACATTTCTTGACATACGTCAGACTTGTCTCTCAGTGTTTACACCTATTAATTCATTTAATCCCAGTATTAACCTCACAAGATGGGTAGCACTATTATTTCCATTTTACAGGAGAGAAAACCAAGGCCTACAGATGTAACTTGCCCAGGACTACACCACTAGTAAGTAAAGAACCTAGAATATAAATCCTGTCTGGCTCCAAAACTCAGGGCCTAACCTCACCTTGGAGGGCTGGGTAGCTCTGACAGATCCACAGCTTAAGACACCTTTGGCTGGGAGAGCTGGCCCTCTGCCACCTTTTTAGGAAGCAAGAGTCTAATCAGTGGTTATCAACCACAGCCCAGCCTCACTCCACAGCGATGAAACTGGAATTTCATATAGCTAAGACTGCAGGCTTTTTTTGTTTTTTGTTGAGTCAGAATCACTCTGCTGCCCAGGCTGGAGTGCTGGAGTGCTGGAGTGCAGTAAGGTAATCATGGTTCACTGCAGCCTTGACCTCCCCAGGCTCAAATCCTCCCACCTCAGCCTCCCCAGTAGCAGGGACTACAGGTACATGCCACCACACCTGGCTAATTTGTGTATTTTTTTGTAGAGAAAGGGTTTTGCCATGTTGCCCAGGCTGGTCTCAAACTCCTGGGCTTAAGCAATCCTCTTGCCTTGGCCTCCTAAAGTGCTGGGATTACAGGCCTGAGCCAAGCTGCACTCGGCCAGACTGTGGGTTTTTACACCCTGAGAGAGCAAGGAAAAAGAAAGGAGTTCTCCCCAGCCCCGTCCTGCCTTCTCCATATCTGAGGGCGTGCAAATCCTTAGAAAGGTCCAAATATTGGCCATAGCATTTAAAATCACCTCTGAAGACATCACGGTGGCATCTCCAGCCTTCCTCACTGGAGGTAACCCTTAATCTCACTGGTCTCCATGCAGACTCCACTTGCCCACCCAGCCCCGTCTCGTGCTTAGGGGTGTGTGTGTGTGTACCTGCATGCATGTGGGCAAACCTCAGAACAAGAGAGAGAAGAGGTTTGTGTGTGTTGCGGGAGGCGGTGGGGGGTGCTTGAGGGAACACTCTGTGGGAGATACCAAGATCCTGTTTGTGGTTTTTGCATTCGAGGCTGGAACACCTCGGCAACCACTTCCATCTGAATTAACTCCCTTCAATAACTCCCCCTGCCAACCAGAGACTTTTACTACGGACTCACCACGAGATCCTAGTTGAGACTGAGCTCATTCCTGCTTGTAGCCTGGAGCCCAACCTCAGGAAAGCATCTAAGAGCTTCTCCCCACCACCAGCCTCCTCCTTAGATCCTGCAGTCCCCAACTCCACCCATCAGGGATGCAAAGAAGGACACGGGGATGTAGGCAGAGTTTGCCTGGAGCCCCAGCCTGCACTGAGACACTCCTCAAATCAAGAATGGGGTAGCCTCCCTCTGGGGCAAACCTCACATTTATCTCACTTGGATCTGCCTTCTTCACACACAAGCTGACCAAACCCAGGAAAGGTTATTTCAAAGTTTGGAGAACAAGGGAAACACCCTGCATGTTAACAGGAAATAGCAGACATCCCCCCATCCTTCCCCTCCAGGATCTTTAGTCCCTGCCCCCATCCCTGGAGGAAACCCAAGACCTCCAGATCCCTGAGAGGCTGAGCTGTCTAGTTACAACTCTGAGAAGCAGAGTCGGAGCTGGCTGGGAAATCCCCAGGAATGAGAGAAGAGACACTCCTGGGCCTGGTGTGTGGAGGGGCCTTGGGCTGGGATCCTGGTCCTCTTGCTAGCCCCTCTTCTCTACCCCAGGGTCAAGATTCCAGCCTGGGAGTCCTGCAGCAGGACGCCGGCTTTTTCCTACCCCTCACAGAGGTTTACAATGCCTGGGATCTGCTGTTGGGTCTCCAATCACAGAACATCACTTTGCTCTCCTTCCCCGTGGAGGGAGCTGGCATGTCTGAAGAAGGTGGGGAGCTCTCCATGCCCTGCCTTCCCCAGCACATGTACCCAGGGTGACAGCTACCTTTCAGGACTCGATGGAGAGAGGGCAACCAAGGTAAACAGAGCCAAGGAGCTGGTACACAGATAGGGACAGCTTTAACAAAGGAAAGATTATGCTTTAACAAAGGAAAGAAAATTAGTGAACAAGAAGAAAAAGATGAGAAAGCTGTTCAGAGTGCTGGAACAGGACAGAGGGTGAGAAAAGGAGAAAGACTTGCCAAAAAGAACAGCCATGAGACAGGATACAGGGTCTGCGGAAGGTAAAGGAAAGGGCTTTAAAGTTGGAGTTGGGCACTAATTTAGATCCTGGCTCTGTCACTTACCAGCTGAGAGCTATCAGGACGATGAGATGAAACACTGAGTAAAGGGCATAAAGCAGGTGCTTAGAAACAAATACGAACAAATTAAGAGACGCTTCACACCCTTAGAATGACTATAATAATTTTTTTTTTTTTGAGACGGGTTCTCACTCCATGGCCTAGACTGGAGTGCAATGGCATGATCGTGGATCACTGTAGTCTCGACGTCCCAGGCTTAAGCAATCCTCCCACCTCAGCTTCCTAAGTAGCTGGGGCCACAGGCATGAGTCACCAAGCCCAGCCCCTAGTAATTTTTAGAAAGGAAATAAGTGGGCTGCACACAGCGGCTCACACCTGTGGTCCCAGCACTTTTGGAGGCCAAAATGGGAAAATTGCTTGAGTCCAGGAGTTTAAGACCAGCCTGGGCAACACAGCAAGACCTGTCTCTACAAAAAATAAAAAAACAGCCAGGTGTGGTGGTGCATGCCTGTAGTCCCAGCTACTCAGGAAGCTGAGGCAGGAGGATGGCTTGAGCCCAGGAGTTCGAGGCTGCAGTGAGCTATGATCACACACACCACTGCACTCCAGCCTGGGCAACAGAGTGAGACCCTGCTTCAAAAAAAAAAAAAAAAAAAAAAGGAAATAAGTGTTGGTGAGCATGTGCAGGAATTGGAAGCTTTGTGCAACATACCTAAAACATAAAACAGCACAGCTGATGTGGAAAACAGTTTGGGAGTTCCTCAAAAAGTTAACATAGAATTACTTTATGACCCAGCAATTCCACTCCTAGATATTTTCAATTCCCAAACGAATTGAAAATGAGTATTCAACACTCATTTGTACACAAATGCTCATAGCAGCAATATTCACAATAGCCAAAAGGTGGACATAACTCAGATGTCCATTAACTGATGAATGGGTCAACAAAATGTGACATTTCTTGCAATGAAATACTATTCGGCCATGAAAGAAACAAAGTGCCGGTAATGCTCCAACATGGGTGAACCTCAATAATGTTAGGCTAAGTGAAACAAACCAGACAAGAAAGGCCACATAATGAATGATTCCATTATATGAAATATCCAGAACAGTTAAATCCACAGAGACAGAAAGCTGATTAGTGGCTGCCAGGGGGCTGGGGTGGGGGTGGGGGAAGGAATGGGGAGTAACAGCTTAATGGGTACAGGGTTTCCTTGGGGTTGCTGAAAATGTTTAGGAACTAGATGGAGGTGATGTTTCAACAATTGGGTGTGGAAGGCCAGGGTCCTCCACTGGCCTGGGCCACAGCTCCCACCATTGTCCATTACAGAGTGGGTATGCAGGAGGGTCTCTGGGTCCTTCAGCTCACTGTGTCAGGTTTAGTAGGGTAGCAGCTCTTCCTAACACACTCCTAATACCCCTGTCGTGCAGCTGGTTGACTAAAAAGACCAGATCACTCAACTCCCAGTCAGTAGCAGGCAGAAATGCCCAAGGTTCCCCAGCCCAAAGCAGGGCACAGGTGGGCTACACAGGAACCACTGCTCCTCTCTCCAGACCATCACAGAGTCCTGTTTGGCCCATGCCACCCAGCTCCCTATCCATGCCCAGCCACCAGCACCACACCTGGAGTTGTGGCCCCCACACCATGACCTCCTCACCCCACCCCAACCTGCCTGAGATAGGCTGGCCACTCCACAGGTACCTGACTCCAGATTAATCCTTGTGAATGGGCTGGGCAAGCTCTAAGAGGAGAACCGTGGAGGGAGAGTCATACTTCTTCCATGATCCCCCTCCACACCAGAATGCCCCCTGCTCAGGGACCCTACCAGCCAGGGCCTTACATCTTGCTCTACACAAAGGCTGAGGGCTGAGAAGTGCTGACAAATGTCTGGATAAGCCAGAGCTGGGACGTTCTCTCAAGTGTCCAAGACCCAACTTTCCCTATTCCTCTTCCTGCTCCAGTGAGATCTACCCTCAGCCCACGCACACCTGGGGGCTCCCCTCCACATGGCCTTGGTGGCACCCCGGACTCACCTCCCTGGCCCCTTTCACAACACTAAATGAAGCTGGATTAGGCTCTCTGCCAGATTATAAGGAGCTGCCGGATCAGGGCTTCCCAGCCCTGGCTCCCGTGGAACTTCCTGGGGTTTCCACCTCCTCCCAGGGCCTGAACTCAGTGTCCTCGTGTCAACCCGGCCCTGGACATGGGACACCGGTGCTTCCTCTCACACACTAGCCCAGCAGCCTGGATCCCCGATATCCGGGAGGCACACAGTAGACACTGTTGGAACAGAAAGTATCCAGGCTTAAGTGAAGCTGTGTGGAGGGAGGGGAAGGGCACTAGCTATGTAAATTGGGAAATGTGAATCGTGGTTCTCTTTCTTCATAATGTAAATGCATTAAGCAGTTTTCAAGATAGACCACAGAAACAGCTGCCATTTGCAAGGAACATGTGCTCCACACCTGTGCTCCCAGCTGCACGAGAAAGCTGTACCTCTGACCCTCCTCCCTCTGAGGCAGGCAGCCCCTTCCCAGACTCGCAAAGAACCCGTTAGGGTCCCCACAGCAGGCTGACAGGGAGAAAGGGGCCTTCTCATGTTAGCCATCTGCTCAGGAGTTGGAAAGACAATATAAGGTCACTCTTAGATGGAAAAAAAAAAAAGACAAAGAAAAAGCTTTGGGGGTTCCTATGCTTCCCTTTAGGAAAGCAGGGCAGCCCAGTCATCCTGACAATGGAGTCAGGTGTCAACCCTGGCTTGTCTATGGGTCTAGACAAGCAGGCCCAGGCCTGTGCAGAACACCGCTCCTGGGAGCAAGGTCTGGGCTCCCAGTGGGTCAGAGCCCAGCAGGCGAGTGCGGCCCCGGGGCTGGCAGGCCTGGGTGACTCAGCAGAGATGCTTCAATCTGCTGACTGCTGCCCCGTGACTCTGATTTCAGTGGCCCTCTCGGGATAAAGAACGCTCAGATTCCCTTTTTCTACCCATTCTCAGATGGAAGGGGAGGTCAACCAGACTAGGATGGAGAGGAAAGCCTACAGCCAGCTAAAATCCTTCAACCCAAAGAGGTCATGTGACCTTACGGTAAAGTTGGGAGAGAAGGAACTTGAAATTTCTTGTACCAACCCAACATTCCAGCAAGAGCAGGGTGGAAAAATTATTCCAACCCTTGGTCCTGAAGTCAGAGGCTTTCCCCATTCCATTTTTTCAACTCAGCAGGAATAGCCCGGTGGGGCTGGTGGCTCTCTGCCTTCCTGGTGAGGATATGTGGGTAACAGGAAGCTGCTCACTCCAGCTCTGGATGTGTCATCACAGCTGACCCGGGTGCTCCCAGGTGGGCAAAGGGGTGGGGGTGGAGAAAGAGCCTACCTATCGGTTTAATTGGTGCCTGGGAGCCTAAGCGGCTTTTCTCAAGAGGGCAGGCACCACGTGCTCAGACACTGAATGGGACACATGTGGGGCAGTATGGACCTGAGTCAGTTCACCATGGGCACAAGGGGGTGACAAAACCCCTGTAGCAAGGCCCCAGCTGCCACATGGGGGATTCGAAGGGCAGAGCATGCCCTCAGTAGCTTTAAAAGGCATCTCGCTCTACTACAAGGGGATTTCAGGTGCAAACTACCGAGAGACAAGGAAAGTCACTCACTCATCCTTTCAAGCAGCAACTACTCATCTCCAGGCAGTGCAGAGCCAGCTGCCTATTATCAGCTGACACCAGGTAGAGGCTTCCACCTGCCACCTCCTGTGGCCAGCAAGTTCTTCCTCCTGCCCTGACCCTAAGGGCTACTCTCTTGTCCTGGTGGAGACATCCCTCTCATCTAACCCTTGGCTTCTAGCCCCTTCCATTAGGGCCACCCCTCAGTTCTGATGAAAACTACATCCTCCCCTCAGTGTCTGCCCTGTGGAGAACAAAGCCCTTTTGTCCAGTAAATGTCCTGCACCCTCCTCGTCTCCTCACACCCACAGATCCCAGTTGGGGCCCCGAGCTCCCCTCTCATATTCAGGTCTTCTCCATTGTCCATCCTCTGAATTCCCTAAAAACTCTCAGTACCCAAACATTTTACTCCTTATGGCCTCTCCCACTGTCTCCCTGGGGTCAGCACTCACTGGACCTTCACAGTCCCCATTCCTGTCACTGTTTCTTCACAGACACAAGCGACCACAACCAGGAACACCCCTCCACTTAATAAGGTGCCTGGGCCCCAGCTGAAGTGCCACATAGCCACAGCTTCTGGAGGCATCTCTGCCAGGGTTCACCTGCCTTCCTGCACAGGGCGCCCACATCCAACCCCAGGGGCTCTCCCAGCATTTGGCAGCCTAAGGCTCCTCCCTTCTCCCACCCACAAACAGTTCTCTATACCTGGAGGAGAGCTCCCTGAGAGACTGGAGTGTAAGCACAGCCCACCTGACTAACTGCAGAACAGGCCTTTTCCCATCCCCCAACTCCACCCCGCCCGGTGAAATTCTCTCCTTCCACCCACCAGACGCCTCACCTGTGTGGGCACTGTTTCCCGAAGCCGTGCCGGCGATGAGGTACCCGGGGCTCTGAGGCCCCAGCTGTCTGCGGACTGTGTCAGGCCCCCGGGGTCACAGACCCTGGGCAGCACTGGGCTGCGAGCAGGTGTGCCTGAGTTCCCAGACTCTGCAGCCGCCATCTCCAGACTGAGGCACAGCCTGGGGATTAGGGGCGGATTGCTCTAGGAGATTTCCCCCTCCCCTGGGGCTCACGGGCTGCTCCTTCCCATCTGGCAGGAGACAGGGAGGATCACCGAGCGCGGGAGGACCGAGCTCTGATGAGATGCCCCTCCACAAGTCCAGCTGTTCCACTGTGAGTTGTGTGCATAAGGACACCCAGGTGTGACAGGCATCAATGAGGAGGGGTGGGGGTGGGGGGCAAAGGGGGTTGAAAGGGATGTGCACGAGGACACATGACATGTGCACCTGCATCCTTCAACCACCCAGAAGACAGGCACTCCACCTCACCCCTCCCATCTCACAGAAATGCCTCCCATGATCAGAAGCTCCTCTCACAAACAGAGCAGTCTCATGGATTCGGAATGGAAGTGAGCCTCCCAGCCAGCCTTCCAGGATAGCGAAGAGCTCTCCAAAGCCAAAAAAGACTAGAGCCTGGAGGGGGGCTCCCTGGCAGATCCTAACACAGCCAGCTCCAGCCAGAGTCCTCTCCTCCTCTCCCTGCTGCCCTGCCCGTTGGCTTAAGGCACCATCACTTCCAAGGCAGTTTCTCTACTCCAATAACCACCTGGAGGAAGCTGACAGCAGCCAGCCTCACCAGGGGAATTCTTCTGCCCTGAGATCCTGTCCCAGAAATCCAGTCTCTGCCCTGGACACCAATGGCCACTTCTGCACTAGCTTCTGCTTCCCAGTCTCTGCCAGCATTGCCCTGGCAAAAACACCCAAGATAAAGCACAGATGGGAAACTCACAGCAGTCTCTTCCTCCTTGGACTTCATCTTGACAGTGCCAGCAGGAAATTCTGTGAGTGGCCAGCAGAGGGGGACAGAGGTCCACAGCTGAGGACAATGAGCAGTGAGCAGTGTCACCGGCTGGCCAGCTGAGTCCTGGGGCCTGCTGGATCTCTCTAATGGCAGCTTCTCACAGCAGAACTGTCGTTCAGAAAGACATGGATTCTGCACCCACTTGAGTCTGGTGAGGAACTCCAGGCTTAAATACTGATGGCCGACACGCGTCACGTTGATTGGGTAGTCCCAAATTCAAGAAGGTGTGAAGAGATAAGGGCCCAGTGCTATCTCTGGGAGCCAGTGCCAGGGCTTGCAGGCCAAAATCACTGAGATCAGGAGTCCTCATACCCTGGGCTCATGGAAACTATACAAACATTTGTGGTTGGCTGATGACTTGGGGTTTGTGAAGAAGCCTGGCAAAGCATATTACATAGGTCCCAATTTCTGGGGCCAGCTCTGACCTGTAGGGCCAGGGAACACTTCTGGCAGCTCCCCTACTTCTGCAAATGATCCCCCTCCTATGGTACTGGATCTTGACTTTATATTTTCGCACCAAGCACTGTTCTTGCATAAGGGTTATTTGTAAATAGGTCTTATGCCCCTATTAAATGATAAGGCAGGGATCAGATCTTATGTTCATCTGGACCATTCACTGTGCCTAGCATAAGACTGATCCTCCCTCAATACTGACATCGTAAAACAATGAAATGATCTACCTCATTTAGCTGCCATGAAAGGCAGTCCAGCCACTGCAGTTCTGTCTCAGGTAGAAACAAAGACAGCTTGGTCTTCTCATACTCAAGATACCCCTTCTTTTTTCACTTTTTGAGATGGAGTTTTGCCCTGTCACCAGGCTGGAATGCATTGACGCGATCTTGGCTCACTGCAACCTCCACCTCCTGGGTTCAACCGATTCTCCTGCTTCAGTCTCCCAAGTAGCTGGGACTACAGGCGTGCACCACCACGCCCAGCTAATTTTTGTATTTTTAGTACAGAGACGAGGTTTCACCACGTTGGCCAGGATGGTCTTGATCTCTTGACCTCGTGATCCACCCGCCTCAGCCTCCCAAAATGCTGGGATTACAGGCATGAGCCACTGCACCCGGCCAAGATACCCCTTCTCTGCCCGCTCCAGGCTAGGCCCCACCAAGCTAGGATTTTTTTTTTTTTTTTTTTTTGAGACAGGATCTTGCTCTGTCACCCAGACTGGAGTGCAGTGGCACGATCACACCTCACTACAGCCTTGACCTCCCAGGCTCAAGCAATCCTCCCACCTCAACCACCTAAGTAGCTAGGACTACTGGTGTGCACCACCATGTCTAGCTAGTTTTTGCAGAGATGGGGTTTCACCATGTTGCTCAGGCTGACCTTGAACTCCTGGGCACAAACGATCCACCTGCCTTGGCCTCCCAAAGTGCTGGGATTACAGGTGTGAGCCACCATGCCCAGCCCAAGCTAACATTTTAAACTTTTTCTTATTAAGCAGAGGAAAAGGAAGAGAAGGCAGTGGCAGCAGGAGACAGGTGGGGAGGGGCCGAGTGAGCTGAGAGCCCTGGGGTTCACTCTGCATGGTAGGTCTCTCTGTGCTTCCCGGGATCAGGAGGGCTCAGAAGCAACAGAAAGAGTTTCCTGCAAGGCCATGCTGCACCACCAGAATGAACTGGGGAGAGCTGCCCCCAACACAGGCACCTGGCAGCTCCCTAATGGAAGGTTATAGCTCCACTCCAAGAGCAGCTTACCCATCAGCACAATAACTGAACAGCAGGAAAACAGGGGTTCAGGAGGGAACCAATAGTTCACTAGGAGAAAAGTAGCAAACAAGAACCAGGGAGATGTCTGCCAGGCAAGCTAGCAGCAGAGCAATGCTTTTCTAAGCCTGCTCGTCTTTATACATGAGACGTGTTCCCAAATCTGCCAAGGATGCAGAGCTTCCTGTGGTGGGGGTGGGGAACAGATAGCCCAAAGCATGGTGGCATGGTGGGAAAGGCCCTGTAGAGCCCTGGGCGTGAGACTCACTTCCATGCTTTCTAAGTGACCTTGGTCAAGTCACTGTAGGCGCTGAGACTGTTTCCACAAATGTGATGGGAGGACGGCGTAAAGACAGGGGGTTAAGGTGAATGTGTCTGGCAGGAAGATGTGCCAGAGCTGGGCTCGCTGGGCACTGGATGAGCCTTTCAGTGGCCCACAGAGTGCTTGGGAGTCAGAAGACCTGGTCTAAAATCCACACCCTGCCACTTGCTAGCTGTGCGGCTTCCATGTTCTGTCCGTGCCGCTTCACAACTGTGAGGAGGCAGGAGCAACTACAAAGCAGCAGCTTGGACGAGGCGGCCTTGGAGAGTGAGACCAGTGGCATCAGGAGATGGAGGAGAGGGTGAATGAGCCAAGCCTTGGAGACTCTGTGCAGCTGAGTCTCACTTCTCCTAGCTGCAAATGGTACATAGGACCATTATCTCCCAGGGCCCTCGTGCAAACACATGGCACTTTCTAAGTTTTACTGAAATAGGTGACTGGTCCTGAAGCTCCCTCACCATGGATGTATGTGCACATGCATACACAAACCACAGTATTCCAGACAGTACCTGGAAGACTTGGTCTGAAACAGAAAAAGCCAAAGAAGTAGCTGCCATCAGGAGCAAAGAGAGTTGCAGGCACACCTGGGAAAAGCTGCCAAGGGCACTAAAGCAGTGGGCTCTGAAAGGACACCACTTGCAAAGCAGCTCTTCTTTTGCAAAGAAAAGGAGCTGTGGAGTAAGCCACATCACTTGCACTTCTTGGTCAGTCTTGGACATCCCTGGGGCGCCTCCTCTCTGGCCTGGCAGAGATGGAGGCCACATCTCAGTGACACAGAGTGGTCACTATCAATTCACAGGATGGGCAGCTGAGCTGTGGCAGGGGGTCTCTGGCTTCACTCTTTCCACCCTTCCAAGTTAAGCCTGAGGCGGGGGTGACAGATAGGCTCTTGTCATCTGAGAAGGGTGGACTGGAAGGAAGCCCAGGTCCTGGGCACAGGCTCTTCTCTCTGCACGTCTGGAAGGTCTCAGCCCTTTTACTGGGTTCCCCTTAGTTTAGTTTTTTCTTCCACATCCTTCTTTCTCTTCCCTTAATTTTTATGCCATGCCCCTTCTTTCTTTAGTATTCTTTAAATCTTATTTTTTTTATTTTCTCTTCCTTTGCCTTGTTGTTATTCTTCCGTTCTCTCCCCACTGCCCTTTTAAAATCATCTTATTTTTCTTGCTTTTTCTTGTAGAGACAGGGTCTCGTTCTTTCCCCTAAGGTGGAGTGCAGTGGTGTGATCATGGTTCACGGAAGCCTCAAACTCTGGGGGGCTCAAATGATCCTCTGCCTCAGCCTCCCAAGTAGCTGGGACTACAGGTGCATGTCACCACACTCAGCTAGTTTTATTATTATTATTTTTTTTTTTTAAGAGAGACAAGGTCTCACTATGTTGCCCAGGCTGGCCTCGAACTTCTGGCCTCCAGTGATCCTCCTGCCTTGGCCTCCCAAATCACTGAGATTACAGGCATGAGCCACTGCACCTGGCCTACTTTTCTTTCTCTTAAAAAAAAAAAAATCACAAACCACACATTTTGAAGGGTGGGAAACTGGAGAAGTCATAGGCTTTAGGAGCAAAGAACCACGCTAAAAAGTAGCTAAATTTAGTAGCTTAGAATACAAGGTGAGGCCTTAAAAAAATTTCAGGCCCCAAATGTGCTGTGAAAATCTGCCAGTGAGGACTCCTCTTTGAAAGGCTGGCGGCTTCTTTTATGCTCACCAAGCCTGCTTGGAAATGGAGGTTTGGAAAATGGTCATCTTTCAGAGGTTCCCTCCCCAAGTATTCACTTTCAGATCAAGCCAGAAGGTGCATCTTCTTAGAAACCCATGTGACCAAAGAGCTCTGCTAACCCCCAGGGAAATGCGAGAGGAAGGATAATATTCTTCAGCGTGAACAGCAGCAACCCAGGTGGGCATGCTTCCTAGGAATACGTGGAGGAATAGGCACAGCTGTGTGAGCTGGGAAAGCAGACAGATCAGGCCAGAGTGGAGGAAGCTGCAGGGCAGCACCCACATGCACACACCAGGGCACCTTTCAGCTGCTTCCAGGGAGGGAGTATGCCATCTCTCCTGCTGGTCCTCTGCCCATCTAATGCCACAGACACTCCTGTTTAGGTAGTCCTTCTTGGGCACAGACATGAGCCCAGATGTTGGGCAGTGAACAGAACCACTTACATAGGTCACTTTTAGGCAAATCAAAATCTGTACCAGGCAGGTAGGAAAGACGGATGATTTCATGCCTTTATAGTCACTCTCCCTGGAGGAGGTTTTACTGGGAACAGGCCCAAGAGAAAGTGACCCGGAGAGGAAGCCACATCTCCTTTTTGGGCAACTTTTAGGAAGCAGAGCACCCTCTACCCCACCCTATTTGCCAGGAATAATTTGGAATAATTCCTTTCTAAAAGCAGAGGATTGAAACACCGAATTCTGGTGTGCTCCTGCTGACTCAAGGGCTCAGAGCATACCATGAGCTGACGTGACTAAACGAGAAATGTGTGTGAACGCATTCTGCAAACTGTAGCATGCTGTTCAGCTGACTGTTGATGCCAGGAAGGCTTTCAAAAGGACATGAGTGGCACCTCTTGGGGGGCATGCCCATAAGCCATTGAGCCCCTGAGAAGTCAGTGGACAGGCACAGGGCCCAGATTATATTTGGATCTGAAGCTACCTTCTCAGGCAATGAAGAAACCTTATACAATGAAGTTAATGTTACAGAGCACTTGTCTTTCCAGGGCAGGATTCGCCTTTCCAGATGCCCAAAGGAGGCCTCCTGGTCACAGTATCACCTTGGGTCTAATTTAGCTCTTGCTGAGCCTGATGAATTATTCACTAGCTATGGACACTAGCTCAGCTCTAGGGTCCCAGTGGTGGGGTATCTGGAGAACTGTAAGGAAGAGGAAATGGAAAGGAAGAGTGAGAACTCCCAGAATCAGACCTGGAGGGGGATCAAAGAGGACAAAAGCAGCAGCGGGCAGGAGGCCTCTAGGTTGGCCTCTGGAAGATTTGGGAAATGGGCTAGGGGTCCAAGAGCCTGTCCCTGGACAGAGAAGGGAGGTAGGAAAAGGCTGTCCCCAGAAATGACACTCACTTCCCCCAACTCCCTACTGCAGCTCAGGGGAGCTTCTGATTCCCTAGGAGCCTAGAAGGAATGCAATAGGGTGTGTACATTCAGTCATTCAGTTTTACTTCTATTTCAGCGCCCTCTGCTCTGTGGGATATACAGAGAAAGCCCAAAATATGCCTATGAAAAGAAGAGGCAGAAGCAGGGATCAGGTTAATGATGCTGTATATCCATTGCCTCATCTGGCACCCCAGAGGGGACTGGGGTCACGTTTCTCATCTCAGGGATGTGGCAGATCCAGGGAAGAACGTGCTGGGTAGCCGGGGAGACCTGAGCCAACTCCCATGACCCAGCCCACATCATCAGTGCCGGCTCCTTGCCGTCTGGAACCCGATGACAGACAGCTCCTCTTGCTGACTGCTACCAGCTCTGGCATAGGGGTCTGACACCTGAAACCTGAGTGCACCTTCCCCTTGGGCAAGCTTGGAAAGCCCAGGCAGATACCTGGCTGGCCTCTCCCACCTGTGTCTGCAGACAGACAGCTTGTCTCCCACCAAGTTTTGCCTGAGCTTAGGGACAAAGGCGTCAACAAGGCATGACCTTACATCTTGGCTAGGTAACTTGGAAGTTATCTAATTTTGCCCCCTCTATCCTGGTGATTTCTGTACTCCCAGATGCCAGAGCTAATCTGGAGAATACTGGATATTTTCTTTTTTTTCTTTTTCTGAGACGGAGTTTCCCTTTTGTTGCCCAGTCTGGAGTGTAATGGCGCGATCTCAGCTCACTGCAATCTTCACCTCCTAGGTTCAAGCGATTCTCCTGTCTCAGCCTCCCGAGTAGCTGGGATTACAGACGCCCACCACCACGCCCGGCTAGTTTTTGTATTTTTAGTAGAGACGGGGTTTCCTCATGTTGGCCAGGGTGGTCTCGGACGCCTGACCTCAGGTGATACACCCACCTCGGCCTCCCAAAGTGCTGGGATTACAGGCACGAGCCACCGTGCCCGGCCGATATTTTCAATCTAGAAAGAAAGTCAGTGGGTGTTAGTGGGGAAAAGATGCATAAAGGCTAATTCTGGAGGCCAGTTACCTGGTGGCTGATTCTGTCTGAAAAGTCAAGAGGACGCTGCAGCTTATGATCTCTGGTGTCAGAGCTTTAGGTCAGAAACAGAGTCCTCACTATGGGCCCCTCTCCTAATCAGACAGGACCCCTACAAGGCAAGGGCTTCACCTGAACATGAGGAATTCAAATCAGACTAAAGGAAGAAACTTCTCGGATCTCCAGGCACAAGAGGATATACAGCTGTGCTGGGACCCCAAGGCCTCTGGGTAATAGGGGCTTTGAGTCACTGAGACAGGGAGCAGCAATTCATGGCAAATCACACAGCTGCCCTGCCCTGGCCTGGCGAGCCACTGGCAGCACAGGCACGGCCTTGAAAGGCTCCTCTGAGGCTGCTGGTCTGGCTGCCTCTGGCTCTCCCTCTGCCCAAGGGACCTTTCCATGCAGAGAGGAAGAAAGAAGGGCAGAAGAGATGAGATGGGATGGAGGAGGGGAACAGAGGAGGCAGTTGCCCTCCACCACTCCTGGGTGTGAGGAAGGGCAGGCCGGCAGAGGCTGGCGCATGTACCTGCGTGGTGGTGTGCTCAGAAGGTGGATGCATTCGTGTGAACAGGCAGAGTGGCCCGTCTGGGCCCCTTCAGCCTCCCATGCAACCTGGCCTACAAGTTCAGTTATACCAGGGGCCCCCACGGCCGGCTGGCTGAGCGGTCATGTTTGGAAACCTCTCTCAGCAGAGCCCGCCCCACCCACCTCTGAACCAGCAGACTCCCAGACATAAACAAACCAAGGCCCCTGGGCAGCTGCCAAGATCTGTCTTCTTGGCAAGAGCCAGGGGTTGGGGGGGCCCCTCACTCACCATCCTTCAGAGTAAACAGGGGTGCTTATTTATGCTGGGGCAGAGAAGAAATCTTGTTGGATAAATCTGGTGTGGGAGTGGACGGAGAGCACAGGGCATTCAGAGTCTGCTCTCGCTTAGGTGATGGGCTGAACTCCACTGGTTTCCCTGTCTGGAGCCTGGAGATAACACCATGAGGCCACAGGGAAGCATCCAGTCAGGACGTTGTCATCTCTCCACCCTCCTCACTTCACCTGCAGCACGACTGGGGAGATCTTGGCCCTCTCTTCCTTCCTGCCTGCTCTCAAAGTGGGGCCTGTCATAAGAGTCCTCCTGTCCCCAGCACCTCCACAGAGTCTCCTGAAGCTGTCCAGAAGCCCTCCCAGCTCTGCCCCGTGCTGCTTCTCAGCCACACTGCAGGAGGGGAAGGGGTGAGCAGGACACAGTCAGGGGCTGGCTGGCTGTAAATCCAGCACTCCTGTGCTGCGTCCCCTTCCTGACACTCCATGCACAAGCCCAGGGATCAGCTGGGGAGAGGTTCTGAACAAGGAGAGAAGGGATTGATGCCTAACCAGGCCTGGGAGAGATGAGAGAAGGAGAAATACAACCCTCTGACCCTAGGTTTTCCAGGAACTGCTGTTAAAAAAAAAAAAGAAGAGGGAGAAGAGGGTGGGGACCTCATCTGTTTTCTGAGGAGCCAGGTGGCCCAAGGCCATCTCCACTGGACGTATAACCAGTGGTTCCCTTTCTAGTCCCCGGGGCTTGTGCCTCCCAGAGGTTAAGGCAACACATGGATGGAAAACCTGCATTCTCTAATCACCTGCCAATGCCCAAGTGCACCCACAATTGATGACAACTTTTTCCCCACTTTACAAATCTAAGACATAGAGAGCAGTTACTTTTCTGTGTCGCATACATACTAGAAAGCAGAATGGCGAGGCTGAGATGACGATTTTTTTAAAATGGAGATGGGGTCTCAATCTGTCACCCAGGCTGGAGTGCAGTGGTGCAATCACGCCTGACTGCAGCTTCAACCTCGTGGGCTCAAGTGATCCTCCCACCTCAGCCTCCCAAGCAGCTAGGACTACAGGTGCACGCTACCACACCCGGCTAATTTTTAAATTCTTTTTGTAGAGACAGGGTCTCACCATGTTGCCCAGGCTGGTCTCAAACTCCTAGGCTCAACTGATCCACGCAAATCAGCCTCCCAAAGTGCTAGGATTACAGGCAGGAGCCACCTTGCCCAGCCAAGAATGTTTTGTTTTTGTTTTTGTTTTTAAACAGGGAAGTAATTGAAGGCACAACCTCAAAGACAACTAAGTGGATCTAGCAGGAATAACCAACAGCCAAATTACCATCACCAAGGCTGAGCTGCTTCCCTGGACCGTGAGCCCCTATCTGTCCCCCGTCACACCCTGCTCCCTTTGGGGCTTGAGGTCTCCTACTTTCTTGGGGTGGGGCTGGGGTGAGCCTCTCCAGGACAGCTGAGGAAATTTAGCTGCCTCCAGGGTGTTTCGGTAACTCAACCCCGCCAGGGCTGGACTCAACCCTGCCAGGGCTGCTCTGGTCCGAAAGCCAGCTGGTGAGTTCTAAACAATGGCAGGGGGTGTGGGGGAGTGGGGGAGGCTTATGAATTAAAAATAGATGCTAGTAACCGCCAGGGATCTTGCAGAGAGCATGTGGGGCTGTGTTTACTAGGGAGAGAAGAATACCTCCTATTCATGCCCAGAGATCAGGGCAGAACCACTACTGCTTCTCACACCAGCCCAGGGCCTCTGGGTCTGGGGGAGTCAGCTGACAGAGCAGGGTTTACCGATGGCTGGAAGACCTTTTTCCTCTGTGACAGGGAAGCAACCTTTCTCTCCTCAGGACCCCCAGGGCCACGCCCATTCCTGGAAGGACAGCTCCAGGTCAGGAAATCTATGCAACTGAAGGGGAAATGGCAACCAAGAGATAAAATCATCCCACTCGGGCTGAGGCAAACCTGCTCTCCATAGACTTTGCATAAAATGGTCCCCAGCCGGGTTCAGTGACGTCACCTCTCAGATGAGTCTTGGGTACAGACTAGGATCCCTTGTCTCCCTGCCAAGACCTAGCTGGGTGCCATAGGCAAGCAGTCTCTTTTCCTCTAGGCCTTAGTCTACTCATCTGTAAAATGGAGATAACACCTGCTCTGCCAACTTCACAGGTATGTTATAAAGATCAACCAGGCCATACACCTAACAAAGCTGAGGGTTCTAAAGAAGGATATAAAATAGTCACAAGAACAACCATTTCCCCCATGATCACCCTGAACCCAGGGAACCGTCCCCTCATCAGGTCACCCAAAGTGTCTGGGTCTCGTCTTCCATAAGCAGCAAAAAAAGAGTTCCTCCCTCCCATCTGGATATCTTGGGCACAGTGAGCCACATGGCAGAGCCCCACAGAGAAGCTCCCCAGCTAATGAGCCTGCCCCACTTCCCCCAGGCCCCTGCAAACATCCACAGTCCTTCACCAGCTTCCGACAGTGCCCACTGCCCACCCCAACGTCTTCCCCCTGCTCAGGAGGTCTTCATGGGAGCCCTAGGCAACCAAAGACAGCAAGGTTCACGTTTTCCCTCCTCATAAAATAGCTGCATACCAGAGACTCCTGCTTGACAGGATTTTTCTAATTTGATTTTTAAAATGTATTCATTGACTCACCCATGAGAGGTGGGCCTGGCTGCCTCTACATGCAGAGTGTCTGCTCATTAAGGGCTGAACAACCTGGTTCATTCTGCTGGGCTCCTCCAGCTCTCAATTTCACAAAGCCACGCCACCCTTTTAGCCAACGCGTGCAGAGCTCCTCACTCTGAGAACAGACTTCTCCCCAGTGGAGGCTAGGCTTGCAAATGGTTCAGTCCCATCATTTTAAATACTATCTATATGCTGACAACTCCCAAATTTATGCCTCTAGCTTGGATCTCTCCCCAGAACTCCAGACTCGTACAGCTGACTGCTTATTTGGCATTTCCACGTGGATGTTTAATAGCCACTTCAAACTGAAGGTACCCCAAACCTAGCTCTGATTTCTGCCCCCACCCCCCGCCCCCACCTCACACCCCTTGCCAGGTACTCATTCTATTTGCCATCTTCCTTGACTCAGTTATTGACCATTTCTTCTTTCTGGCTGCCAGGCCGCAAATCTGTGAACCACATTTGACTTCTCTCTTTCTGTCATGCCCACATAGAATCATCAGAAACCTTTGTGGCTTGATCTTTGAAACCAATCCAGAATACAGGTACTCCGCCCCACCCCCAGAGTAGTTCAACAGCTTCTGAACCAGATGCCCTGCTCACGCCCCGTTCACAGCACTTCGGGAGGCTGAGGAAAGCCAGATCACCTGAGGTCAGGAGTTTGAGACCAGCCTGGCCAACATGGTGAAACCCCATCTCTACTAAAAATACAAAAATTAGCCGGGCGAGGTGGTGAGTGCCTGTAATCCCAGCTACTCGGGAGGCTGAGGCAGGAGAATCACTTGAACCCAGGAGGTGGAGGTTGCAGTGAGCCGAGATGGATGACAAAGTAAGACTCTCTCAAAAAAAAAAAAAAAAATTGGGATATCTTCAGCTGGCTTAGCTATCTCACAGGATTGCTTTAATGAATTCATGAAATGATGTCTACAAAAGCACTTTCTACGTTAGAAAAGTGCAAAACCAAACCTGAGCTGCTATACAGTGCCAGGCACACGGCATACACACAAATGCTTGTTGAATGAATGAACATCCAAACATTTTCAAATGTAAACATGCACAAGAACTTGAGAAACAGTCTGTGTTGATGAGAGGACAATTTAAAACTGTACGTGGAGATGGATCTGCTCTGGTGATCATCTAAGGTAAAAACAACTTTATATCTGAGTTTCCCTTGGAACTCTGACGCTGGAAAATCCACGGGGCCTCACATCCCCCAAATGTAGAACTGTTTGGTCTTCCATCATGTCTCCTCTCACTTCCACTTGAACTGTCTTCTCTTTCATCCGCCCTCCCACTGGACCTTCCAGAGTCCTCCTTCCACAACAAACAAGCTGCCTCCTGCCCATAGTCTAGCACTTGGGCCCCTGCAGGCTCTTACTGCAGCTCCACTTGCCCCGGAGCCCTCATTAATCGCAGTGATTTTTTCTTCCTCTTCCTCCCTCATTTTGTGCCCTCTGGAGACGGGACCAGCATTCTACTGTACTCAGTGTTGCTTCAGCCTGGCCTTCGAGGTCCCTGCCATTGCACTCTTCTCCCCCACCCTCCAGTCATCAAAGAGACCTGCTGCCCTCCTTCCTGACCACTGTCCAAGGGGGCATCTCCATGTCATGTGGACAGCCCATCCCACAACCTAGCCTCTCAGCTCTTGCCACTGCAAATTATCTTTCCATTCATTCCTTGTCTGTCATGCTCTATGAGTATACTCTGACCTTTGTCTTCCCTATCCCACCCCCCAAATTGTAAACTCCAATGCCCTCTCCTGTCTCTCTCACTCCTCTTTATTCTTAATGTACCTGCTCCCTCATTCCCTCAGTACCCCCATCTCCTTTTCTCCACATTCATCAGCCTTCTCCTATCCCCACCTCCTTCTCTGCTAGCCGAGGTTTCAAGGTCCAACCTTTTGAGCATTCTCTGACCCAAACAAACCCCCAACTCCTTTGTCACCCTTACATGCCCTCCCAGCAACCCCCAACCCTGGATTAGCCTGATAATCGTTCAGCTCTGTTCCTACCCTCTGGCTAGGACCACTAGAGAGAAAACAAATCGCAACCACTAGGGTGCTGCCAGCACAAATTACCAGCCTCTACAACACCAGACAGGTCACCCGTGAGTTCCTGCTCAGAGCCTTGCTCTGCCCCAAGCCAAAGCTTTACTGCCCTCCTCAAGCCAGCCCTTCCCACCTCCCCTCCTGCTCTCAATAAACACTTGCACCTTTGGTTTCTTCCCCCATAGAAAATAAAAACAAAGTAAGAATTCATTTCTGCCTCCCAGAGGTGACTCTTTGTGACCAAGGACGATGCTGACTTCTGGATCTCACACCCTTTCACCTACTCACTGACCTCACCCCAGTGAGAATTCCCCTTCCTCACTGCTATCTTCGATCTCTGCCTAATAGGGACCTCTCCAGCCAGCATGGAGGTGGGCTCAGGTGCTTCCCAACTTAAAAAAACCAACAAAACCAGACTGCCTCCACCTGATACCCTCCTTCTTCCCAGCCAAGCTACACACCTGCCTTCACTTCCACCCTCTCCTTAATCCACAGAAACTGGCTTCAGGCCATGGTTCCCAATGACAGCCACTGCTTGCTACTGCCTGTGCACATTTCCAAACCCAGATGTGACCTGCCCCTTCTATGCATTTCACTCTGATTACTTCCTCCTCCTTCAAGCTCATTTTCCTTTTGCTTTGCTGCAAGTTTACTTCTATCCATCTGACTGCTCTCTCTCGGGCTCCTGGTGCTTGGCCTGTCACTTACATGTCAGCTGGGTCTGTCCACAGCCTCCTTCTCATTCGACACATCCTCCTTTGAAGATCACACCCACACCCATGATTTCAACCTCAGCGCCAGCTCCCAGAGCACTGGCCCTGGCCCAGGCCCCTACCCCACAGACCCAATTGCCAGCTGGTCCTCCCTAGCTGGACAGCTCCCAAAGGCACTTGCAACTCAACAGGTCCAAAACTGAACTCATCACCTTCCCCCCAAAACATGCTCCTTCTCCTGTGATTCCTCAACTAGAGAATTCCCCCATTTTTAAAGCCACTAAGCCCATAACCTTAGAATCATCCTCTACGCCTCCCTTTCCTTTGCCTCCTATTCACTTTCTCACCTACTACTTCTGACTTTCACTTCCAAATGTTTTCTGCACTTGGCGCCTTCTTTCCATCCCCACTGCTGCAGCCTAGACTACTGCACTAGCTCCAAAGTCTCCTTGACTCCCGTCCTGCACTCCCTTCCCAATCTACTGATTTTTTTTGTTGGTTTTTTCTTTTTTTTTGAGACGAAGTCTCGCTCTGTCTCCCAGGCTGGAGTGCAGTGGCTCGATCTTGGCTCACTACAACCTCCGCCTCCCAGGTTCAAGCAATTCTCCTGCCTCAGCCTCCTGAGGAGCTGGGATTACAGTCGCCCACCACCATGCCTGGCTAATTTTTGTACTTTTAGTAGGGACGGGGTTTCACCATGTAGGCCAGAGTGATCTTGAACTCCTGCCCTCAAGTGATCCACCCACCTCGGCCTCCCAGAGTTCTGGGATTACAGGTGTGAGCCATGTGCCTGGCCCCAATCTACTCTTTATATTGAGACCTAGAGGAACCTCGTCCTGCCAGTTTCCTGCCTAGCACCCTTTGATAGCTTCACACTACTCCCAGAATCAACATGGCAAGGCCTTTTGTGATGTGGCCTCTGCCTACCTGTCAATCCCCAAAAGTGCTAGATGCTCTGGCCATAATGAACCCCCAGTAGCCCCTAGCACCAGCTTGTGTGCTTTTGTACATACTATGCCCTCTCTTCCCCCTTCCCCTCTCCCAGTTCTTCCCTGGCTAAATTATTCAAGATTCAGCTCAATGGTTTCCTCAAACAGGTCTTTGCCAGCTCCTCGCTCTCTCCTCAAGTCCCCTCTCCCTTGAAGCTCCCACAGCAGCTCCCATCTCTCTGTCCATTCACCCACTTGTACCCCCTCTAGAGTGAGCTCCACAAGGACAGCAACACTGGCTTGTTCATTCTTGTAGCACAACATAAGAATTCAATAGATACTTGTTACACGAATAAAAGAACGAATATATAAATTCATGAAGTGCTAAACTAGCTTTTCTCCTTCCCAAATCACCCTTCATGGATCCCCTATCTTCTTTGGTTGGTGCCAATAGTAAAGATGATACTATGCCAGGCTCTATTCCAAGTATTTTACATATATTAACTCATTTAGTCCTACAACTGTACTATTATTATCCTCATTTTCAATTGGTGAAACAAGCACAAAGAGGTTAACTGAGTAAGTGGCAGAACCAGAGTTGCTTCCAGTCTGTGCTTTAAACTACTATACCTATTGCCTCTTGATAGCCCATTTAAGGAAAACAAGTCAACATTAATATCAGCATGAGCAAAACACAATTTTGAAAAACAGCCCTAAGGAAACAAAAATTAGCCATCCTGGGAATCATCTCTTGTTTTTGGCCTAGTCATACCCGACTCCTTTAACCAAGGTAGATAACTCTGCAGACGGTGGGGTGTCAGTATCTGCCAGGGAGGGCCCCTGGCTCAGCTCCCCAGGTCTCAAGGCCCCTCAGCGGATGGCCCTTGCCTCTGAGTCTCCCCCTGCCCCAGAAGGCCCATCTCACCTTGTCCCCGATGCCTTCGGCCTCCTCAGCCAGGAGGTACACGTTGCTGCCGTCGGCCAGCAGCAGAGCAGTGTCGGTGGTGGAGGAAGAGCGGGGACGGCACTGGTGCTGGTGCAGGATGGCGGCCAGGCTGCTGTCCTGGGGGGCCTTGCGCAGCAGGTGAGGGCTGCCACGCTGGGGCTCCAGGGAGCTACTCTTGGTGCGCCGGCTGCTGCTCCCGCTGCTGCCGCCCCCACTGCTGCTGTGCAGGCTGGCGCCCCGCTTGATGGAGGGCCGGGAGCGGATCTGCTGCAGCACGCGGTTGAAGGCGGTGGGCCGGGCGGGCAGGTCGTGCAGGGACATGGCGTAGGAGACGCGATGCATCTCCGGAGAGCGCTCCTTCTCATCTGGGGAGTCATGGTCGGACATACCCTGCTGCTGCTGATGCTGCTGGGAATCCTGAGACGTCTGGTGCTCCCTTTCCCGAGACCGACGGCGGCTGTGGAACAGGTGCTTCAGACCGTGGCCAAACATGGAGCCCTCTGACAGCTGCTGGATTTTCTTAAGGGGGAGAGATGAAGAACCCTGGTGAGTGGAAAGCTCTTGATTGCCTAGTCAGTAGGAGGGTGAAGGTGAAGGGTCTGTCCTTGGTAGACTGGCATAGCTAATGCAGCCATCTGAACCTGGAAGATCTCTGTGGATGGCCCGTCGTGCATAAAGGGTCAGTTTGCGAAAAGGTGGCAACCCAGACCCATCCTTTCATTCCGAAAGAAGTGTGCCCCCACGGTTTTCCACGGGACATTCCTAATCAAAATGAAGGTTCAGAGTTTCTAGGAATGATGCTCTCAGGGCTTCAGTCTGGGGCTTAATGGCATACACAGGTAGCACTTGGCTCATGGGGTTGTATCCCTCTAGATTGATCCCCACCCCCAGTCCTTCCCTCCTTCCAAGTTAGACGACCCTTCAAGCTGTACTAGTTCTTTCAGGCCACCAAGCATCGATTTCCAAAGTTGCCTAATTCCAACATTCCCCCAGTAAAATCAGGGTCATACAATCAAGTTATACTGTTGTAGCAGACACTGCTAATTGCCTACCCAATATCTATTTTTCTTTCTTACCAACCAAACTGCAAGGACTTAACTCACCTTGCTAAAAATTCCTGCTTCATCAGACTCCCCTTGCAGCTAGGAGTAGCCACATGACACAGTTTGGGCCAACGAAAAGCAAGGTGAGAGCTTCTGGGAGCACTTTTGCTTTCCTGATAAAGGCACTGGCCCTTCCCAAATCTTCCCATCTGGAATGGGAACGTAGTGCCTGGAGATGCAGTGGCCATTCTGCAACCACAAGATGACATGGTTGACGATGAGGGTCTGCACACAGATGGTGGAGCCCAAGGGACAGGCCTGGGAACTTGAAGGTCTATGGAGCCACCAAACCAGTTGTGAACATCTATCCTGGGATTCTTGTTGCATGAAATAAACCCATCTTTGTCTACACAACTCTAGTATGATTTTCTGTTATTTGCAACCAATTTCATTCCTGATATGGTTGGCAATGAAATAAACTTTACTTCTATGAGCAAACCTTGTGACATAGTAATGTGACCAATTCTTTAGCATACACATCAGAACAAGCTATCCAAATGAGTGTCTTTCCCCTTAGATCCAAAGCATAGAGGCACTGCAACCCGGTGCCGCCCAGGCCACAGCCTTTCCTCTTAGCCCTGTTGCTGAGATTCTCCAGCTGCTCTTCCGGCAAGACTGCTCACAGAGGGGCAGCTGGATGGCCTGCCAGGGCGAGCAACTGTGGTATAATTCCAGACAGCTGCTTCTGTCAGGGGACGGCTTATCCGGCCAGGTTGAGCCCTCTATGAGAGCTTTGGAGCTGTTGGAAGGAGGGGTGAGACTTGGAGGACCAGGAGACACCTCACATTCTGCAGCTCCTTAGAGGAAAACTCAGGGCCCAGCCATTTGGGACTCAATGAGCCATAGCAGGATTTCCTGTGAGGAACAACCCACAATCTTACCAGGCTGCCTCAGTCATTTAAAAAATGTTCCAAAAAATTACACAGACTGGATTTTCTTTTTTTTTTTCCCTAGAAACAAACTTACAGAGCAGAAAATCTAGACCATATAGAAACCAAGAAAAAGCAACCTGACATCCTCTAAATGAGCTGACCCCACTCTTAGGTTACTTTACAACTCAGCCTTGAGTTTGTGCAGATGGCTGCGCTTACAGCTGGATACAATAACTGTACTATTATGTATTTGTGTAAAATTTTAGGATTTTCATTTTTCACCTCATTTGAGTATCCCCAGAATCCTTAAAGTAGATGAGGCCCTTACATCACCCATTTTACAGACCAGATAAATTACATCATCACAACTCATCACGAACTAACGGTTTTTCATTTCAAAGGAGATTTGTATCCTGCATTATCCCATTGATTCTCCTAAATAGTAACAAAAGCAACAACGGAAACATCTCCATTTAGAGAAGAGGAAATTAAGGCTACCATGATTCCTTCTCAAGAACTGAATTCTGGGGCAGCCCTCGAGATCTTAAGTTACACAATGCCAGCTTTTCCCACAGGAGTTACCATCCCCTGGGGGCCAGCTTGAGGCAGGGTCACAAGGCTCACCTGAATCTGTGCTGGGGAGAACCAAGATGTCAACTCTGCCATGGACTTGGAACAGGCCAGATCCTGCAGCCTTCAGACCAGGGACCTGCCAGGACACCTCCCCCTTCCCCAGGCCCAAGCTGATGTGAGACCTCCCTCCAGACACTGTGATGGGGCCAGCTGGCTCTGGCATTTGCCCAGCTGCCTCTGCCAAATCGTCACATTCCATAATACGAATTGTCTTTCTAGCGTTCTATTCCAGGTCCCTTCCTCTTCTCCCCCCATTCCTAAACTGGCTTCTCCAACACTGAGGATCCACTCAGGCAGAAAGAGTTTCCCTTCTAAAGACTTCAGCAGAGGTCCTAGAGTTCTGAGGCATTTCCTCTCCCCTATCCCCGGGAGGCTGGTGGAGGTGCTGGGGAGAGCTACGGTGGCCACCGATGTCTGCCATATTGCCTTGGAGCCTAAAATCCTTGGTCAATTTACTTTTAAAATTTATACAACAGCATTTTGCAAAGTGCGTTCCGATTTATACTGTCATTATAATCTGACACTAGCCTAATCTCAGGAGCTAGGAATGTGAGATGTCACAGCATCAGTGTCTATTTTGCAGATGAAGAAACGGAGGCACAGCATAGCTAAGTGGCTCATCCAAGCCACACAGAGAAACCCCCGACTTCTAATTGAATTTACCTTCATGGGCCCATACACTGATTTCAAGACTTAAGATTTAAAGTAGATAGGGTATTTGCATGTGTCCCAGAATAGTATCAGAGGCAGGCGCCAAACAAAAATGCCTGGGTCAAGGGTTGTTAGGTCCCCTGAACTGCTGTTGTGACCTGCCCATCCCATGTTATGGGACAAGACCCTCAACTATAAAGTCTTTACTTCCCACCTCCCTGAGCTGTCCTGCAGCTGAAGGAAACCTAGGGAAAGTGACCAGGAGACCCCAGGACCTTTGTCCCAGCAGACCGAGGAATCTATTAAAGTCTGAGGCAGGCAGGAGGGAAATAACAAAAAGGAAGTCAAAGAACAAGGTGCAGAGAGAGGAGATTACTCCAAATGAAGGGGTTTTTCCTCACTGATAAGGTGCGAGGCGGGAACAGCAAAGTGACGCAAGGGCTGGGCCGCTTCTGCATGTGGGTGTCAGGGAGGAGATGGTTAAGGAGTTTTGACATAACACAGTAAGTGTTTTAAAAAAAAAAAACTCAGCACATACACATAACCAGCTACAAGTTTCAGAAGTGAGGAAAACCATGGTGACTAGCTTAAGGGAACTTAGCCGCCAACGCAGCAGAAAGCACCACCTGCTCTGACTAACAGGTTCCAGCTCCTAAAATGTCACTTGCTTTTCCACATTGACTTTTGCTTTTCCCTGGCTGCCAGAAACCATTTTGGTGGCCAAATGAAGCCATGCATTAGAGAGCTGAGATGCTTCAGAGTTAGAGGTGGCAAACAAACAGGGCTTTCATGATCTGTAAGACCGAAGCAAGAAGTGCCGTCCCCAGAACTGGCCATAAGGTAGTCAGAAAGGAGAGCCTCCCAGGGTGAGGTGCCCCGGGGAAGGAAGTGAGGGGAGTTGGCTGTCCCTCCCCTGGAACTATCTGAAAGGGCAGGAAGAGCCCCATCTCCTTGGGTGGCACTGTCCTTTCAGGAAAAAAGGGAGGACTAGATGGCTTCTGAAAGATCCTTCCTGAGAAGGCTGTGGTTTCTGAACAGTTGGGCTTCATCCGTCTTTCTCCCTGGGTGTGGGTCCCCCAAAGGGGAAGTTTGCTCCAAAATCTGCAAACACAGCTGCATGAATACAAAACTAAAATGCCTTGGGGTACAGTGTCATTGGCACCATCTGGTTAAAAATGACCAAAAGTGGTTTCTAATTTTTACAGGTACGTGTGTTCTCAACAAATCCCAGGAAAGCTTAAAGTCACACTAATCTATAGCTAATTATCCCACCTGGCAGCTGACTGCATAGCCCTTCCTCCTACCTGGGTTTGAAACTCCTTCCGCCCTACCAACAGTTTGGCTGTGAGGGTTCAGTGGGGTGACTGGGTCACCCTGAGCCTTTGCCAGCCTAGGTCGCCAACATTCCTCTATTTATAGGGTCTCTATGGAAACAGGGCCAGCATTAGAGAACTAATCACTGTAAAAACCCACAGAGTTCTACTCTTAGGATCCAAAGTGGATTGAAGAAGTCTCCAATTGCCCTTAAGAAGCTCTGGGTGGGGAGCCTGAGTGGGAGCAGGAGAGGAACCATTACCCCAGGTTTGGCGCTGATGATCACAGTGGTGTACAGTAGGCAGCTGCAACTGTTCAGGCCCACTTGGAGTTTCTACTGGAAACCCAGTGATGAAAGATTTTTGGAATCATTTATTTATTCCCCAGCCTCACAGATGAAATTTTAAAAAAAAAACTCAACTCATGGGCACACGGGCAAAAAATTCCCCCATTCTCAATTTTATTTTGATTCCTCTTTCCTTTATTGCTTAGAGAATTCAGCCTGGAGCCAAAGCAAGTGGGAAAAGGTCACCTCATCCACCATGTCTTTAGGCAGAACTGATTCAGCACACACCAACATAGAAGACTTTTATTAAAGTTCCCAGCATGGCGTGCCCTCTCTCTGCCTCTTTGCATCCTACCCATCCTTCACCACCTCGCCACTCCATAAAGCCCTCTCTGATCACACCAGTCTGCAGCGATCTCGCCCTGCTCTGAACACATAAGCGCTCATTATCTGCACCACTCATTTTGCAATTAATCGTGTACTGCCTTGTGACATCGCTTCTAGTGCTTTGTCTGACTGTTATCCAACTTCTCACCTGCTGACGGATGGAACCCTTGATGACAATATGAGTGACTGGACAGCAGGAGCTACAGCTCCTACATCTCTGTGTCCCTAACATTACCTGGCAGAGGCCTCAACACCAACATGGAAGACAGCTAGGTAAATTATTTGTTCATTTATTTTCTGAGCAGCCACTATCCAAGTCTCTACAAATCCATCTTACAAAGGTGATTTTAATCCTTAGATGACTACCTTTTCCAAAGACATAACCTTTCACAAAGATTTCAAATGCTCCAACAGCCTTTTCTTGTGTCTAACTCAGATTTCTCCTGCTGCAGTTTAAACCCTCTTCTCACTCTATTATCTTAGTAACCGCCAAGATTGAGTTGGCTTGGAAGGAGATGAACACAGACCAAGGAGCCAGAATGTATGTGATGTCTTCACAAATGGCTTAGGGAGGGCTTGGGAGGGGGCTCATGTCCTTACAGCCAGATTTGTTTTCCCTGGTGGACATCACTCAGTTAACCTGGCTGGAATAAGGAAGCCTTTAGTCATTTGGTTTAAAAATAACTGTTCTTTTTTTTTTTTTTTTTTTGAGACAGAGTCCTGCTGTGTCGCCTAGGCTGGAGTGTAATGGCGTGATCTCCGTTCACTGCAACCTTTGCCTGCCGGGTTCAAGCAAATCTCCTGCCTCAGCCTCCCGAGCAGCTAGGACTATACGGGCACACCACCATGCCTGGCTAATTTTTTGTATTTTTAGTAGAGACGGGGTTTCACCATGCTGGCCAGGCTGGTCTCGAACTCCTGACCTCGTGACCCCCCTGCCTCGGCCTCCCAAAGTGCTGGGATTACAGGCGTGAGCCACCGCGCCCAGCCAAATAACTGTTTTTCTAGCACAGTCACAAAACATACCTGTTATCCCCCAACAGCTTTGTTCTAACTTCTTACACGAAGAGAGACTTAAGTGTTTGGCTGACAAAGGTGGACCCTGTCCAGCTATGGCCTCATTCCAAAAATGTAGCATGCTAGTAGTCTATGGGGATTTCAAAGGCAGATGCCATTTCTTAAGGGAGAGATGAAAACAGAAATGAGTTCTGAGTTGGCCTTTAAGACCACCACTGAGAAGCTGCCTGAGCCCTTTTCCCCAGCTCCTGATAACCCCACACTTTGAAAACTTCAGCCCAAAATTTAGGTCCTATCAGATATTTCAACTCCTTGCTGAAGGAGATTCTTGTTAATGGGATTGGCAGTGAAGACATAATTAGATACACAAAAAGAAGCACATTCTGTAAATACTGAGCCTGCCAGACAGTTCCCACTAGAACAACTAGGGCAGCTGGGAATTAATCTAGAACTCAATATGTGGCAGGAGAACAGGGAGTTTCGTTTGCCACATGCTTTCCCATCGGTCACCAGTTCCCCCAGAGCCCACATAGAGGGCTGCTCTGAATATTACCTAGGCTGGAGGGGGTGGGGGGGAGGCAATCCTGGGCCTTCCAACCCTCTGCCTGCTTCATATAAGGTGCAAGCGGGACAAAACAGTTAACTTCAGCATTTGCACTACCCTCCATTGTTCCTGATCATTCTAGTCAAACAGGGCAAAGACCCTACAAAAGCACTTGCTACCTCACTTCCCCCATTTAGAAAGCCCCTCTTCTCTTGTTTGGTAATAAATGTCCCACCCCTTCTTTAAAATCTTGCTCTAGGCCGTGCGCAGTGGCTCACGCTTATAATCCCAGCACTTTGGGAGGCCGAGGAGAGTGGATCACCTGAGGTCAGGAGTTTCAGACCAGCCTGGCAAACATGATGAAACCCCATCTCTACTCAAAATAGAAAATTAGCCCGGTCTGGTGGTGCATGCCTATAGTCCCAGCTACTCGGGAGGTTGAGACAGGAGAACCGCTTGAACCCGGGAGGCAGAAGCTGCAGTGAGCCAAGATTGCGCCACTGCACTCCAGCCTGAGACAGAATGAGATTCCATCTCAAAAAAAAAAATCTTGCTCTAAACCCACCTCTTGCAGAACAACTTTCCTGATTAACCCCCATAAGTTTCTGATTGCACTGCATGATGCTCTAAGTACCCTTTAACTTCTATGTATTTCCATGATGGTTTTCTTAGAAGTATTTCATCCTATTTGACCTGGAGATCAGCTGGAGGTGAGGCCAAATAACTAATTTCCCATTTCCTTTTTGTTTGTTTGTTTTGTTTTTTATTTTTGAGACAGAGTCTCGCTCTGTCGCCCAGGCTGGAGTGCAGTGGCACGATCTCGGCTCACTGCAACCTCCGCCTCCCAGGTTCAAGCAATTCTCCTGCCTCAGCCTCCAGAGTAGCTGGGACTACAGGTGCCCGCCACCATGCCTGGCTAATTTTTCTGTATTTTTGGTAGAGATGGGGTTTCACTGTGTTAGCCAGGATGGTCTTGATCTCCTGACCTCATGATCCACCCATCTCGGCCTCCCAAAGTGCTAGGATTACAGGTGTGAGCCACCACGCCTGGCCTCCCATGTCCTTGTTTTTAGGTATACTTCAATTCTACCTCCTCTGATAAAACTTATCCCAGGCGTCCGGCTCCCACCTGAGATTGCAGGAATCTTCAAGCCTTAACATATCTACTGGGCCTCAAGATGCAGCAGGCCCTCAGAGAGCCATCGCAACCATCACAACACTCCTGGAGAGCCCCAGGGAACGTACATATCTTCATTCCACCTACGTTCTTATGAAGTAGCTTGTCTTCTCCTTCATTTAAAAAATGAAGAAACTCTCCACTCTCACTGCTTCATTTGACTACCCTTTAAAAAAAAAAGGAGAAACTGAGACCTATAAATTTTATCAAAACCCTGAGCCTTGAAAAAATATATATATAAGAAATAAACAAATAGAAAACAAGCAGGTGCTTCTCGGGAATGTCAGTTTTTTTTTTTCCTTGACTTGGGTAGATGAGGTGTCTGCTTTGCTTCTGTTATTTAAACTGCGTACATGTTTTCAGGCACTTTTATAAGCATGTTTCACAATTTAATTCAGCAGCACCTTTCCTGCTGAAGGTGGTATCTGCTGACTGCATGAACCCTTCTCTAGTGGGCTCTCTGCAGGAGTGGTGAAGGAACACACGCCACTCACAGTGGGAGGAAGCTGCCTGTGACCACCAGGAAAGGCGGAGAGCCAGCAGGGAGAACCACACAGGACTCAGTTGTGACTTTCTCTCAGATATCTGGCTTCGAATTATCTTTCCTGCTCTTCACTAAGTAGGCAGGAAGACCAGTGTATGGTGTGACTGGAACATGAACTGGAACCCAAATGAGTCTTGAGTCAAAAGTGCTTCAAACCAGGAGGGGAATGATGGAATTTGGAGCTCCCCCTTTTTCTTCAGGGAAATATATTAATACTGCTCAGAAATCTCCAGGGAAATTACTTAAAGGGGCTTTTGTGAGAGGAAAGAGAACCTTAGGGGAAGTCCAGGGGGAAAGCCCATGGCCAGCATCCCCAGACACCTCCTTTCAGGAAAGACTCAATTCTTCCCACTGTGAGAGAGGTGGGGAGGTTGGTAATTTCCTCCCGTGCCTTCAGACTTCCATCACATATCAGGATAGAACCAGCTCACTCTTATGCTTGGCCACTCATCCTGGGCCTCAGAAGTATCTACCACACGTTGTGGTTTTTTTTTTTTTTTTCGGTTGTTGTTTTTTGTGTGTGTGTTTTTTTGTGTTTTTTTTTTTTTTTTTTTTTTTTTTGAGATAGGGTCTTGCTCTGTAGCCCAGGCTGGAGTGCAATGGCATGATCATGGCTCACTGCAGCTTCAACCTCCTGGGCTCAGGCGATCCTCCCACCTCAGTCTCCCAAGTAGCTGGGACTACAGGTGTGTGCCACTGCACTTGGCTAATTTTTGTATTTTTAGTAGAGACAGGATTTTACCATGTTGGCCAGGATGGTCTCAAACTCCTGGCCTCAAGTGATCCACCAACCTCGGCCTACCAAAGTGCTGGGATTACTGGCATGAGCCACCCACCGCTCCCGGCCCGTATGCTGTATTCTTAGCAGGAATGTGTGCTCCCTGTCTGCAGTATTCCCCTAAGCCCCACCTCTCCTCCCATATGCAATGGAACTGGGTTTTCTTGCTGTAGAATTGTGGTGTACTTTTGGTCAGCCAGCACTCTCTGTGGCTTAGCAACCCCAGCATCTCCTCCCAACAAGCAGGGAATCTGTTAGCAGCAAAAGGCTGGGCAATAAGGACAAATGAATCGAAACATGAACTCGAGTGTTTCAACAGGAATCCAAGCTGCAAGTGGCTGAAGAATGGGACTGAATTGTTGTGCTCCTGTTGCAGGATGTCTACTGAGATTTTCCCCGAAGGTCCCACAGGTGTGTGGAACAGTTGAGAAGGCCCTCAATGTATCTGCATGAGCCTCCTGTGAGGCAATGTCCATTTTTAGGTTATTTTTCAATTACAGTTTTAAAATTGCTGCTTAACTACTACTTTTCACTGGCCCTTCCCACCCTATAATCACAGATCCCAGGGCACTGTAGCAGAAATTTACAGTGTACAGTAAGATGGTCCACAGTGCTGAAGGAACAGAGGGAGACCATAGGAGCCCATGAAACCACTAACTGTCACTAAACACCATTCAGATTTCTTTGGCAAAGATAAAAATTCTCTCCTCTTCCAATACCGCCCCAACCTCTACGGAGGTGCTTTACACAGAGTCCTTTATTATTATTATTATTATTTTTGCCCCTTTCTCAAGATGATTTCTTCCAATGCACTTAATTCATCACAGTGCCTGGAGCTGTCATGAGAAAACAGAAATGGAACTAAGATACCAAAAGTTCTCATCTCCAAAGTTTAAAATGAAAACAAAAGCAAACCAGAACTGCTTATCTGCCTTGACCAAACACAGGTATGAGGTAGGGGAGCATTAAAAATTAAACACCCTTCTGTGGTACCACCATCAAATCTAAAACAAGTCAACTTCTACCCAGTTCCAGAGTCAATAATGGAATTTTTCTATCATTGGAAAACTGTGCCAGCATTGGAAAACAATTTTTCCAGCACTGGAAAGCAAGTTTGGAGGGGCTGGGCACGGTGGCTCACACCTGTAATCCCAGCTTTTTGGGAGAATGAGGCAGGAGTTTCGCTTGAGTCCAGGAGTTCAAGACCAGCCTAGGCAATATAGCAAGACCCTGTCTCTACAAAAAATTTAAAAATTAACCAGGCATGGTGGCGTGTGCCTGTAGTACCAGCTACTTGGGAGGCTGAGATTGGGGAGTCACTTGAGCCTGGGAGTTTGAGACTGCAGTGAGTCGTGGTCATGCTACTGCACTCTAGCCTGAGTGACAGAGCAAGACTCTGTCTCAAAATAAATAAATAAATAAGTTTGGACACACTCCGATATTCCTAGTCCCTTTCACCAGAAAAAGGCTCGGAAAAGTTGAGTGATTTGCCCAAGACCACACAGCAAATCAAACTGTGAAAGTCCCCAAGTCACATCTGGTTGGAAGTCCCTTGCACCCGGTAGTAAACATGTTGTGATGAAGCAGACAGAGATAAACAGGAAAAGCCCTGCTTGTTTCCCCATGCTCCCACAAGCAGGCTGCAGCTGGGTTTTCTGCTCCTTACTGGGTCCACATTGCTGGGTTCAATGGTATGTTTTCTCTGGGGGCGGGGGGGGGGATGGGGGGATGGGGTGGATGGGGGCGCGGGGTAAGGGGAAGCCTCCTTTTCTTACACCTGATTTCAATTCTGGTTGAGGGCAGTTCGGCAGTTAATATCAAGTGTAAAGTTGTTACTACATCTGCCCCTGACCAGAATGAGGGCACTGCCAAAAAAAAAGAAAGAAAGAAAGAAAAAAAAGATAATACAGGAGAGTGGAAACGTGGCATCCCTTAAGGCGTCCCTCTACAGAGACACTGCAGCCCCCATGCCATGACCAACCCATCTTCCTCATGAAGGCAACTGGGGGAATAAATGGAGAAAGCAGTTTCCACTGCTGTCCTGAGTTGGAGAGTGGGGAATTTCCAAAGCTGCCTCTCACAGACTCAGCTGAGGGTCTCATTGGTCAAAGATTCAGGGTTTGCTGGCCAGACTCATCTGGACCGGCTCAGAATGAGGCTGAAGTCTGCAGCAGAAGGCTAGCCTCCTCCCCACAACAGCATTCAAGAGACCCCTTCCCCCTCACCATCTCACTTAAAACAGGAACTACACCTCCTGACCACATGGGATGGACTCGGGGGTGACAGCAGAGATAAACACCAAGGACTCCCTGGGCCTGGCAAAAGCTCAAGCTTCTTGTGCAGAGAGAGCCTATCCCACAGAGATCCTCTAGACATAAGTCTAGCCACGAAGCTCTGAAAAGGACGGCGGCAGAACCAGAGTTCAGATTTGAATAATTACTGCAAAGTTTAAAAAACACACACAACAATAACCTAGTCGTCCCCCTTTTCACTCCTCCCCAAGGCACACAGACAGGTAACATACACAGGTAAGAGCACACACACTCACCTGCGCTCTGACTTCCTGACTCTGAGCTGCTCAGGCCAAATGAGGAATGGCATTGGCTTATTCTGGTGAGCTCCTTAGTGGCTGCTGCCATAGGATATAGGCTTTATTAAATGCAACAGAGTCCTTTCCGTTTCCCTAGCCCAGACCCTGCACCTTCTCTGGAGAAAATAACTGTGAGGCATCAATTTCCAAGGCATCTAAGTTCCTTCCTTGGGCTGACATCTCGCTCAGCTGGACGGTGAGCTGGCTTGAGAAGCCTGAGCCTGCAGTCCCTGTGGCAGTTCCGGCAAAGGTGCATTATTTATCTCAGCTGCTGTTTTAATTGATAGAGATATATTCAAGACAGCTCGCCAATTGTCTCGGCAACCTCAGGCCGGAAAATAAACAGCTCCATGTGAACAGTTCTTTCGGCTTCTGGTTCTAGCTGCTGGCTCAGCATGTATGCAACTTGAACTGAGGCCCCAAACCAGCCCAAGCACTGCTCCACCACCTGTCAGTTCTCCACCCTGGGGGTTGGTTCAGCAGGCAGGCAGAGATCTCCAAGCACTATCTTAACCTCTGGCTCCACCTAACGGCAGGAAATCCACCTTCCCCCCCCGCCCCCGCCACCACCCCCCCCCCCCCGCCCCTTCACAGATCGGCAAACTGAGCTTCATCCAGGAAAGCGCTCAAAGATCCCAATGGGGCCCGGCACGGTGGCTCACGCCTGTAATCCCAGCACTTAGGAAGGCCGAGGCGGGTAGATCACCTGAGGTCAGTTCAAGACCAGCCTGGCCAACATGGCGAAACCCCGTCTCTACTAAAAATACAAAAATTACCCGGGCGTGGTGGCGGGTGCCTGTAATCCCAGCTACTCTGGAGGCTGAGACAGGAGAATCGCTTGAACCGAGGAGGTGGAGGTTGCAGTGAGCCGAGATCGCGCCACTGCACTCCAGCCTGGGCGACAGAACGAGACTCCGTCTCACACACATACACACACACACACACACACACACACACACACACACACACACACAAAGATCCCAATGGGTAGAGACTTACTCAGCAAGGAAAACTAATGGTCACCTGCTGTCCACTTTTTGGTTAGCATCTTGGATTTCTCCAGCCCTTTGTCTGCGAATAACACTTCACACATTATTCAAACAATCTCGGATGGGTGAGTCACTAAAACGCTTGCTGAATAATGGGGAACAAACACAGAGACCTGACACGGAGCTGAAAGACAGAGGCATAAATGGTACCTGACGTCCCCCCTGGGGTGCCAGCAAAGCATCCGCTCATCCTCTCTGACCTTTGCCTGGCTTCCCCCCTCACTTTTATCCTGTTAAAGCACTTCTGCGTGGGGTGGCGAGAGCTAAGTCGCGGGCTGGGCTTGCCGGGGGGATGGTCTGCGCTCACCTTTAAATCAGGAGGCTTGCTTCGGGGACCTGGGTTGGGCGCCGCGGCAGCGCCGGCGTCTGAAGTTGGCCCGCCAGCAGAGTTAGCACCCGTGGTCTCCCCAGGCCGGAGGTCCGCGCCCGGCAGGTGGGAAGCGGCATCTTCCAGCCCAGCTCCATCCTCCTCGCCCTGTTGTTGCTGCAGCTCGTCCGATCTGCACCTCTTCATGGTGTATGTGGGTCGGCAAGGGGAATCTGTCCTTCCAGCGCGCCGTCTTGGGGAAGACCGCACCCCCTCTTATATTCATATGAGGCCTGGGGTCTAAATTATTAACAAGGAGGGGAGATGGCAGACCACAATTTCTTGAATTAAAAAAAAAATTCTTAAAGGCGGGTGAGGGAGGGGCGAGAAGGGGGAGCCTTGGTTATAGCTTGGAATAGTTCATTTCGACCTGGGGAGCGAAGACAGGTCACAGTCGAGGCTGGGCAGCAAGAGTCCTTGGGCAGTCATTGCAGGAGGGAGAAGGGAGACAACCCCCGGCCCCCAAACTTTCTGCTTCAGGGCATGGGCAGGACGGAGAGGAGCTGGGCGGCACAGCGCATCCCTCCCGGCCGGCCGGGCTGCGGGGCGAGGCGGGGCGCGGGGCAGCCGGCCGGGCAGGTCCTAGTCGGCCGCCATCGGCGCCGGCTGCAGCCCCCGGCCCTGCAACCGGCCCCTGCCCCGCATGGTCCGGCCGCGGAGCCCGCAGCGCGCCCGGCCCCCTCCCCGGCCCGCGCGCCCCGCTCCCCGCCTGACGCGCAGCCTGCCGCAAAGCCGCGACCGCGGCCCGAGCCCGCGGCGAGCGCGCAACCTACCCCGCCCGGCTGCCTCCGCCCGGGAGCGGGAAGGCGAGGCTAGGAGGGAGTGACAGCGGCAACCGGCCAATGGGAAGCCCGCGGGGCTGAGGGGGCGTCGCGCAGCTTCGTTTTTGGGGTTGGTTGCACCGTGCGATCCCCCAGGAGAGGGCTGGAGGACGATGCTGCTGCGTTTTTGCATTGCAGAGAGCGGGCTGCAGTTCAGGGGCGGGGGCGGCGGGCGTGGGAGTCGCAGTTTCGGCTCCAGCTTGAGGGACCCTGCCGAGGAGGGCTCGCCCAGGATTTCCTCCACCCATTCGCTTTATTTGGCGAGAAGGAGCACAAGAGGGATGTTTATTATCACTGCTTTTTGGGGCTCTTAACTTTGCACCTTCTAGCCATAAGGGAGACACCTATCCCCTCTAGGATACTTGGTCTGAGTTAAATCTATGCCTACATTCAGAGCTGCAAATGCCAAGGGGAGGGGGCGTTCTCTCCTCATCGCCCCGTCCCCCGCTTTAAGTGCATTATTTCTTAATGAGACTTTACTTGGCATAATTTATGCTCAGAAATTGGGAAGAATTTCATATAAAAACACAATAACGTATGTGAGAGTTCCTTACAAACTGTGAAGCAGCTTTTAAATAAGAAAGGGTATTAATGGCAGGAGGTTGCTACATATAGATGTGTGGAAAGGGAATGCTGTCTCTCTTTGCATAAATCTCAGCCAAACTGTGCTGAGTAATCTGGAAGCAGAAGAGAGCAAACGTTGGGGTTACCAAGATATGGAGAGTAGTAATAATAACAACCCCATCTGAGTGTCTATTGTATGCCTCCTGTGGACACAATGGATTTTACTCATCCAGCAACCAGTGGTTCACAAATTGTGATCCTTGGACTAGCAACTTCAGCATCACACGGGAACTTGATAGAAATGCAAATTCTTGGCCACCAGCCAGACCTAGAGAATCAGAAGTAGTGAGCCAAGAAATCTGTGTTTTGACAAGCCCTCCAGGTAATTCTGACACACACTACCCTTTGAGAACCACTGGCCTAGACAGTGAAGGGGCCACACGGTCTCTAAAGGATTTTACAGTTTACCAATCTCTTTCGCACCCATCATGCCATTGTAGCCTCACTTCAGTCTCACTAGTCGGAGTTTCTTGACTTTCTGTTCTGTCTTCTTCCCATTCCAACCACTCATTTTAATGTGTATCCTAGAAGAGACTAATTTGTTAAGAATTTACTTCAGCCAAGCAGCTACTTTCTAAACTAGGCAGCTCCACTTTTAGAAGATAGGAATTTAGGATGGGCTGGGAATGTGGAACCACCCCCCACATCTACCACAAAGAATCGAGCACAATGTGGAAACACAAAGCTATAAGCCTTTATTTAGCATTTTCAATGGTGAGGGGATGGCAGGATGCCAGTGTAGACCGTGGGCAGGACTAGACAGAACCGGTGGGGGCAGGTTCCCATGGTGCAAGGTTTCAAGCAGAGGAATATACTGCTCCCTGCCTGACTTGGCCCAGATAAGTGCAGCGGCCCCAAAGACCCTGAGCAAGTCTTGAGGGGCACGCGGTGGCCAGCAAATGGTGAGCATGCATTGACACATGTTCATGACCTGACTCGAAGCCGAAGGAAAGTGAAGGGATTTGGTTTAAGGAAGGGATTTGGTTTCGTTTAAGGAAGCAGAGAGCATTATAATTTTGAATTATGCCTCATTTCTATACTAGATAAAAGTTGGTCTTAAGTTTGATTTTTATATTATCATATACATACAGCATGACAGCCACATTTTCTACTTGTCGTCATATTTGCAAGGTGTGATTCAGGTCAGCAAAAAAGTCTGTGGTGTGTTTCATAAAATCAGCTAATACTTTACATTCCATTTTGGAGAGGCATCATAGCATAATGGTTAAGAGCTCAGGCTCTATGGCCAGATAGGGGACAAATCCTAGCTCTGCTCTTCACTGACCATGTGAGTGGGGACACGTTATCTAACCTCTTCATGCTCCAGTTTCTGAATTATTTGGAAGTAGGGATAATGACAGTACCTACCATACAGGGTGTTGGGTAATATATGTAAAGCACTTGGACATTGCCTAGCAAAGAATGAGGGCCATAGCTATAACCACAGATGTCATCCAGTTTCAGAAGTGTTGCACATTTCACTCCAATGCTTCTATCTTCAGGAGTTCAAATGTGTCCCACCAATTTCTGACTTTCACTGAGTGTCATATTATGGAATAAGTGTGCTACTGCCAAAGAAGTTTGGCTGAGAAGTCTGTGTAGAGACCTGAGTGACCTATAACCACCAGTTTGAAGCCAATGGCAAATTTTCATTAGCCGCAGCAAATTCTTGAGCACCTAAGAAAATCAGAACTTGAAAGTACTTTGGTTGGTTGAAATTTTGTTTACGGCATTAGATTATTCTATCATTCTACGTTTCTTTGGGAAAATATAGGCACAAATTATGTTTTGATATTCAAGATTAGACAAAAGTTTGCAGATACACAATGCAAGTGATTATATTTTCTATGTAGGAGTAGCATTTCCATTCTGTTTTGGCACACCTAGTTAATTACAAGGAAATAACATGATTTAGTGGGAAGAACATTGGTCTTGGTGTCAGAAAATTCATGTAAGCATTCTAGTTCGGTTACTTCTTGTGAGCTTAACCTCTTTCACCCTCGGTTTTCTCATCTATAAACCAGGGCTAATACTATCTATCTTCACTGGTTATTGTGAGGATGAAGGTAGATAATGCACGTGAAAATGCTTGACACATGGTATATGTGCAGTAAAACTAAGTGAAACAAAAATAATTAACTTGTCCAAGCCCCCCATATACCATATGAGAAAGAGAATTATCCCAATAAGCTGAATGCTTTTTGTGAACAGAAATCCCAGTTAAACTAATGAAAGGGAGCACTCTGGTAGTATCAAATTTGCTAAACCAATAAGTATACACACAAGGAGTATAAAGGGCAGAATTATGGAATCCTGCTCTCTTGTCAACACCCAGTTCATTTAGTTTGATAAATGGTTGAAGCTTTCATTATAGAGGATAAGGTGCCAAGATTAACAAAGTGTAGAGTAGGGTTTTGTTTTGTTTTCTTTCTTTTTGTAAAAGCAATTAGGTCTGAAAAATAAAAGGCTTCTCTTTTTGCCAATAGTAAGAAGCTTGCAGATTATCCAAGGCAATTCTATGTCCTATTCCATAGCAATACTTAAAAAAACATTTAAACATCAAATGGATAAGTGGTTGTCAGTGCGCTATTTTAAGATTTAACATACTGAGTAGAGTGATTCAAAGGTAAAAGTACTCTCTAGAGGGACTAGATATAATAATTTTGCTCACTGAATTTTGATACCAATATCATTGCATATACTCCTTTGTTAATGTAATTCTCTTCCCTTTTTGTTGGAGATGACCACTTCCACGCAGTGCACTCCTTAAAAGAAATTGAGTTCTGTTGGATTAGGAAGAGTAAACTATGCAAATAATCCTTAAGAAGATTGTCTGGATTGTTGATGTTGTCACAATCCCACCACCTAAATACAGGCTTTTTACTGGCTATTGTAAAAGGAAGAGAGGACCAGGAAGGCTCTATATCACTCCTGATTGGAGAAAGCTCTTATTAGCCTAAACTAAATTTTATCCTATTTTTTACTTGAAATGTACTCAGCAGCATTTTCAACATTATTACATTTTCCCATATTATTCCATATATTATTAGCCATATTCCATATGTTTAAGTAAACATTTTAAATGACTGCTTAATGTTCTGTCAACTGAAGATATCATGGTTTAACATACTATCCACTTCATCCTTTGACATAATTTTCTCTATTTTTTGCCTTTAGAAATAAAGCTGCCATTACTATATTTATGCAGAAATTGTATACATTATTTCATTCAAAACACAGAATCTCTGATACCAAACTGGCAATTTTTTTTTTTTTTTTTTTTTTGGAAATGGAGTCTCGCTCTGTCGCCCAGGCTGGAGAGCAGTGGCGTGATCTCGGCTCACTGCAACCTCTGCCTCCTGGGTTCAAGCAATTCTCCTGCCTCAGCCTCCCGAGTAGCTGGGATTACAGGCATCTGCCACCAAGCCTGACTAATTTTTTGCGGACTAATTTTTAGTAGAGACTAAAAATGTTTTTCCATGTTGGCCAGGGTGGTCTTGAATGCCTGATCTCAGGTGATCCGCCCACCTCGGCCTCCCAAAGTGCTGGGATTACAGGTGTGAGCCACGGCGCCTGGCCCAAACTGGCAATGTTTTAAAGGAGTAAGCAAACCCAGATTACTAACTTTGTGATCATTTCTCTCACAGCATCCCTAAGACTTACACAGGAGATTCCAATGTCTGTTTCATTCCTGGGGTGGGTGAATCTCCTATCTGTAATATGAAAAAGCCAGAAGTTCCTGCTTCTCATTTCAGGTAGGATGCATATTCTTTATTCTGGTTTCTCCTCTGTAATGGGAGAAAAAATGATAATCATGGCCATGAACAGAGGAGGACTGTGAAGCATAAACTTAAACCCTGATTGTACTACTATGTGTGAAAGCCTGGGACTGGTAAAATGGCTGCTTTGTGCCCTTTCCCATCTCTATAGGGAATCCATACAAACCTCTGGACAATCTGTTACTTAAAGCTGAAAATTCTAGACCTTAAAAAGAAAGAGAAAATATCAGCTTTGCTCAGAGAGAATCGATTGTTTATTATTTTACATCTGAAAATAAATATCTGTGGGCAGTTCTATCTATAATCATATGTGGTACTTTTAGATACAATAGTAATAGTAAAAGTCCACCATTTAAAGAGATCCACAGGTGTTTGACATTTTGCTAGGAACCTTGTGAACACTCTCCTGAAACAACCCTACAAGGTGTGTTATTACCACCTTACAAATGAGAAATAGGCTTAGAGAAGTTACAGCACTTAAAAATAGGTCCAAGATCTGTGCTCAGCTCCGTCTGACTCTAAAGCAAGCATGTTCAACCCCCAGCCCACAGGCCGCATGCAGCCCAGGACGGCTTTGAATGAGGCCCAACACAAATTTGTAAACCTTCTTTCTTTCTTTTTTTTTTTTTGAGACAGAGTTTTGCTCTTGTTGCCCAGGCTGGAGGGCAATGGTGCGATCTTGGCTCACCGCAACCTCCGCCTCCCGGGTTCAAGCGATTCTGCTGTCTCAGCCTCCCAAGTAGGTGGGATTACAGGCACACGTCACTACGCCTGGCTAATTTTGTATTTTTAGTAGAGACCGGGTTTCTCCATGTTGATCAGGCTGGTCTCAAACTCCCGACCTCAGGTGATCTGCCTGCCTTGGCCTCCCAAAGTGCTGGGATTACAGGCGTGAGCCACCGCTCTGGGCCTGTAAACTTTCTTAAAACATCATGTGGCCTGGCTCCATGTTTCTTAAAACATCATGTGGCCTGGCTCCAGCCTGGGCAACAAGAGCAAAACTCTGTCTCAAAAACAAAAACAAAACGAAACAAAAAACCATCATGTACTCAGAAGCATTTTGAACATTATTACATGTTTCTCTATTACATTTTTCCTTTTTTTTTTAAGCTTATCAGCTATCGTTAGTGTATTTTATGTGTGGCCCAAGACAATTCTTCTTCTTCAAGTGTAGCCCAGGGAAGCCAAAAGACTGGACACCCCTACTCTAAGCTTAAAAGCCTAATAGCTCACCTTTTCACAACTATAATTTTGAGTCACTTTATGGTAAGTAATACTCTAATTAATATTAGTCTGCAATTCAATATCTCTACATTCGTTCACATATATTTATGAAACACATATCATGTACAAAGGCTTTACAATATGCTTGTGGAGGATATAGAACAATAAAAGACATTCGTCCCTGCCTTAAAGTCCAGTTGGGGAGGTGAGATACAGACGAAATGTCAATTAACAACACAAGATTGAAATGGTAATGTCTGCCAACACTCCAAGGGGAGCTAATTAAGTACCAAGTTCTGGAGGAGAGAGAGATCTCTGTGAGGGATCAAGATGACTCCAAAAAGAGATGTTTTCACACATTCATCCATATCATGAATGTTAAAAGGATAAAATATTGCTTTAGGATGATTCTAATTCTTTTAAGTAAGGAAGAACTAAATATCATCTTGAAAATAGAACATTCAATATTTGGATCTCCTTAATTTTATATCTGCATGCTATAGAGTTGTATGGCATATTAAAACGGAATTATTTTTCTTCTCTTTGTTCTCTGAGACTGTAGGGTAGTGTTTCTGAAAGTATGGTTCATGGACTACCAGCAACATAATCACCTTGAAATTTAGTTATATATGCAGATTCCCAGGTCCCATTCCAACCTGATAGAAACCGAATTTCTGGGGGTGGAGCCTGAAACTCTGCTTTTTAGACAAGTTTCCTAAGTGATATGTACATTGAAGTTTGAGAACCACTGATGTAGGGGAAGACTTGTTTGATTACATTTGTTGATAGATTTATTAATTAGTTGAGCACTTACTATATGCATAACACACCTTCCCATTTAGTCCATAAAACAAACTTTGTGGCCAGGCACAGTGGCTCACGCCTGTAATCCCAGCACTTTGGGAGGCCGAGGCGGGCGGATCACGAGGTCAAGAGATCGAGACCATCCTGGCCAACACGGTGAAACCCCGTCTCTACTAAAAATACAAAAATTAGCCGGGCGTGGTGGTGTGCGCCTGTAATCCCAGCTACTCGGGAGGCTGAGGCAGGAGAATCGCTTGAACCCGGGAGGCAGAGCTTGCAGTGAGCCAAGATCGCGCCACCGCACTCCAGCCTGGGCAACAGAGCGAGACTCTGTCTCAAAAAAAAAAAAAAAGGTTTCTTGTTTTTGTCCTTCCTGGAAGGACCCACCGAGGCGGGAGAATCGCCTGAACCCGGGAGGTGGAGGTTGCAGTGAGCCAAGATCATGCCATTTGCACTCCAGCCTGGGCAACAGAGTGAAACTCCATCTCAATAATAATAATAATAATAATAATAAAAATAATAATAATAATGAAAAACCTGAAACTACCTAAATGTCCCAACCCTTTTACACTGAGATTGGAATGGTAAACAATGAGCCATTCTAACTGAAGTCTAGGCTTCAGTTCTAACGGGCACCACACTTTTTTCCAACATGGGAATGGAGAGTTGCTCTGAATTAAGAGGAAAATGTCAGTTGTTTGAAAAACCTTCTGCTGATCTTGTGACTTCAAAAAGACCACTTAAGGAAGTCTCTCGTGAGAAGGGGAATCACATCATCCATGTGAGATACTATTCTGGACTATGTATCCTTATGTCATAAGCCATTTTCAGGCAGCTCATATGGCTCTGGGACATACCCAAGCAGACATAGGGACAAAAGGCGTTTTCATTAATGAGACCACCCAGGCTTGTCTTATATCTCTCACAGGGTGCTGGTGAAAGAAGATATTACTCTGTTTCAACAGGCAATGACACAGTGCAGTTCTATCAGATGGCAGTTTAGTACCATAGAGCTACAGCCATATAGAGGTTTATACTCTTTTACTCAGTAATACCCTCCTGGGAATTGATCTCCAGGAAATAATTCAAAAGAAGAAAACAAGCTACATGAACAATGACAAAAAAAGTTTATTGCAGCATTGTTTATAATAATGAAAAACCTGGCGGAGCGCAGTGGCTCACGCCTGTAATCCCAACACTTTGGAAGGCCAAGGCAGGCAGATCACCTGAGGTCAGGAGTTCAAGATCAGTCTGGCCAACATGATGAAACCCTGTCTCTATGAAAAATACAAAAATTAGCTGGGCATGGTGGCGGGCACCGGTAGTCCCAGCTATTCAGGAGGGTGAGGCACGAGAACTGCTTGAACCCAGGAGGTGGAGGTTGCAGTGAGCTGAGATCACACCATTTGCACTCCAGCCTGGGCAACAGAGTGAGACTCCATCTCAAAAATAATAATAATAATGAAAAACCTGAAACTACCAAAATGTCTCAAGAATAGGGAATGGATGAGGAACAAGGCACAACAATATAATGGAATGGAACATTGTGCTGCTATTAAAAGGGATAATATGATGAATATATAGAAATATTAAAAGCCGCCTTTAAGTAATATAAAATGAAAGCATTAGAATGCAAAATTGTGTAGAGCTAGAAGAATTAGGGCTTTGGAGTCAAACAAATCTGTGTTATTAGCTATATGGACTTAGAAAAATCACTTAGCCTTAGTCTCAATTTCCTCATCTGTAAAATAAGGATAAAACTATCTGGGGTTGTTGTAAGAATTAAATATGTTGGGCCGGGCGCGGTGGCTCATGCTTGTAATCCCAGCACTTTAGGAGGCCGAGGCGAGCGGATCATGAGGTCAGGAGATCGAGACCATCCTGGTTAACATGGTGAAACCCCATCTCTACTAAAAATACAAAAAAAAATTAGCCGGGCCTGGTGGTGGGCGCCTGTGGTTCCAGCTACTCAGGAGGCTGAGGCAGGAGAATGGCGTGAACCTGGGAGACGGAGCTTGTAGTGAGCCGAGACTGCGCCACTGCACTCCAGCCTGGACGACAGAGCGAGACTCCATCTCAAAAAAAAAAAAAAGAAATATGATATAAACTATATTGATACATTTTGGGTAAGTCATGGATAAATATGGGAGGCAGTGCTAAGAAATAATCCTAAATTTTATGCTAGAATGTGAGACTGTTAAAATGTTATGTAAAATTGATTTATTTTTATAATGTTTTAAATACTATTTTTTACTCTTTATTCCTCCACATCCTTAAAATTTGTCATATTCCCTATGCAAGAAATTTGTGCATGTAAACTGGAAACTTGCCTAAATGGATCCCTAAGCCTTATTTTGAGAAAGTGCCTAGACTGGTGCTTCTGAAATCAGCTCTAGGAAAATGGTAGGACCCTGTCAACACAGAGATATGTGATGGTGGCTCAACCAGGTGCCGGGAACTTTCTTCCAAGCACTTGGAGGCTCACGTGAAGCTCGATAGGTGGAGGTCCCTCTTTCCTCTGAAATTTGGGAATAGAGAATGTTCTCTTGACCAGAATGCCTTCCACCTTTGCTTCAGAATCCTAACCGTCACTTCCATCAAACCACCTCCCTGGAGAGGTGGCTGGATTTATGAGAAAGGGCGCAGGGAGGGGAATGAAAGGAAATATTTTCTTTCAGATAATATATATTGAGTATACTCTTTGTTTCAGGCATTGGGCTTGGCATATGTGGATAGATACAGACTAAGCTGGATGGAATATGTTTCAGATATTGGGCTTCAGAATCTTCTAGAAAACCTCTATCAAAATAATGTTGACAAGCCTGGGCAGCATAGTGAGACTCCATGAAAAAAAAATTAGCCGGGCATGGTGGTCCCAGCTACTCAAGAGGCTTAGGTGGTAGAACCGCTTGACCCTGTGTAGTTGAGGCTGCAGTGAGCTGAGATTGCACCACTTCATCCCCAGCCTGGGCGACAGAGAGATTGAGAGAGAGAGACCCCATCTCAAAAATAAATAAATAAATAAATAAATGACATTGACATAGAAAAGGGTACTGGTAGGTGTTAATCTATCTATCTTTATCCACCTAGGATCAGCCCAGAGATAAGAATATAACCAATTATAAGGTGTTATTCCAGGTAGGTAGGGAAATAAACCAAATATGGGTTCCACTGAACTGTCAGATAACATAGTGGAGAAAGGATCACAGCCATTTAGACTTAGAAAAGCAATAATGGGGATGGGCCCGGTGGCTCATGCCTGTAATCCCAGCACTTTGGGAGGCTGAGGCGGGTGGATCACCCGAGGTCAGGAGTTCGAGACCAGCCTGACCAACATGGAGAAACCCTGTCTCTACTAAAAATACAAAAGTAGCTGAGCATGGTGGTGCATTCCTGTAATCCCAGCTACTCGGGAGGCTGAGGCAGGAGAATCACTTGAACCTGGGCGGAGGTTGCAGTGAGCCGAGATTGCACCATTGCACTCCAGCCTGGGTAACAAGAGCGAAATTCCATCTCAAAACAAACAAACAAAAAATTAGCCAGGTGTGGTGGTGGGTGCTTGTAATCCCAGCTACTTGGGAGGCTGAGGCAGGAGAATCCCTTCAACCCAGGAAGCGGAGGTTGTAGTGAGCCAAGATTGCGCCATTGCACTCCAGCCTGGGTGACAAGAGCGAAATTCCGTCTCAAAAAAGAAAAGAAAAAGAAAAGCAATGCCGATCTACTGTCTTACTGATGAAAAATGAATTGTGACAAAACTATGTTCAGGGCTTCTGGAAAGCTTTGGATCAGTTACTCTAAAACATTTCTGGAAAACCTTGTTCTTCTACTTGGCAGTGAAACAAAGATGATCTCTGTTTAGAGTTATACCAAATTCCCTTTGATTGTTTCCCTCCAATGCTCTACATCCTAACAGCCAGGCATGGCACTGATGAAATATTCAGCATTGGAATGATATTTGATGTATAATTAAATAGCATTTAGCAGTTCAATTTTATAGAGCTTTAATCTTCAAGTTAATAAACCTTCATGTAGAGAATCTCATAAAATATTCTTGGAAATGCTATCCTCCTTGTAAAAATACATAATCCTGAATGTGAATAGTTACTACAGACAGAAAACATTTCCTAAGCATGTCTGTGTGCAAAGTAAGGTGCTAACTGCTTTAAACATTATGTCATTTAATCTTCACAACCCTGTGAGTTGGGTATTAGTTCTCCTCTACAGATGAAGTGAATGAGGCTCTAAGTAATTTGCTTACGATCATGAAATAAGTAAGCAGCACGGCCAGGACTGGAAATTCGGGTTAGATTCTCTCTGATTCCCTTGCTTTTCCCTACATTTTTACAGGATTTCTTTTTTTTTTTTTTTTTTTTTTTGAGACATGGTCTCACTCTCTTGCCCAGGCTGCAGTGCAGCAGCATGATCATGGCTCACTGCAGCCTCAACCTCCCCAGGCTCAGGTGATCCTCCCACCTCAGCCTTCCAAGTGGCTGGGACTACAGGCGTGTGCCACCACACCTGGCTAATTTTTAAGTTTTTTGTAGAGATGGAGTTTCACCATGTTGCCCAGGTTGGTCTCCAACTCCTGGGGTCAAGCAATCCTCCTGCCTTGGGCTCCCAAAGTGCTGGGATTTACAGGCCTGAGTTACTACACCTGGCCAATTTCCATTTCAAAGCACTTTCACTTACCTCCAGCCTGGGAGGTAGAGGTTGCTGTGAGCCGAGATCATGCCATTCCACTCCAGCCTAGGTGACAGAGGGCAAGACTCTGCTTCAAAAATAAATAAATAAATAAAATAAATAGAATAAAATAAGATAGGCTGGGCGCAGTGGCTCATGCTTGTAATCCCTGCACTTTGGGAGGCCGAGGTGGGTGGATCACCTGAGGTCAGGAGTTTGAGACCAGCCTGGCCAACATGATGAAACCCCATCTCTAGTAAAAATACAAAAAATTAGCTGGGCTTGGTGGCGTGTGTCTGTAATCCCAGCTACTCAGGAGGCTGAGGCAGGAGAATTGCTTGAACCCAGGAGGCGGAGGTTGCAGTGAGCTGAGATCATGCCACTGCACTCCAGCCTGGGCAACAAGAGCAAAACTCCGTCTCAAAAAAAAAAATTAATAATAATAATAAAATAAATGCAGAATCCCAAGCACCACCCTAGATTTACTAAATCAGAAGTGCATTTTAACAAGATCTCCACATGATTCATGAGCACACTGAAGTTTCAGAAGCACTGTTCTGCAACACTGCCAGCATTATACACTATAGGCAGGGAAGAGGGCAAGATTGTCTAGAACCAGGGATTCTCAAACATGTTCCCTTGGGAATCAGTATTGAGATTCAAGAAAGTATGTTTGGTTGTTAAATTCGATAATGGTGACTTTTCCCAATTCATAGAAAAAAATTGGGTTAATGGGTTGTATTTTTCATCTTTTCTTCCATAATTTGTCCTCTCTTTTGGAGCTAAATATTACCTACCTGCTGGTAACTTTAGAAGATGATAATGAGCAAACAAGTAGTAAAGAAATACTTATATTTATCAATATAATTTTTCAATATAATATAATAAAACTCAATAATATGTAATTCTTTATTTTTCCTTCAATTTGTAGATTTTTAAAATTCTTGGATTTGTGATTCTGATTTTATGTTGCATAACAGAAAATAGTCATACTTTCTCTTAGTAAACTGTTCTTAATTCATATGGAAGAATTAAGTGTTAATGTTTTATGGTGTTCTAAAAAAATGATTTCCACCTACATGAACAGGAAGATCAAGGCTTCAGAATCTCTCCAGAAATCATCAAACCAAGAGGAACTTGTATAGAAAAGTAAAGTTAGAAAGAATATTTCTCACCTATCTCGTTTCCTCCAATGACAACATTAATGGATACCAATATAACCTACTGTTTTTTTCTGGGTAGTAAAAGTATGAGTGGTTTTTACTTTCTCTTTTGTGATTTCCTGAATGTTAAAAAATGTTGGCTGGGCATGATAGCTCACGCCTGTAATCCCAGTATTTTGGGAAGCCAAGGCAGGTGTGTATCACTTGAGTCCAGGAGTTCGAGATCAGTCTGGACAACATGGCAAACCCCAAAACCCTGCCTCTACTTAATCAATCAATCAATCTACAGTGAACACTCAGTCACTCAACAAATATCTAACGAGTACCTACTAAGTGACAGGCACTATTCTAGGTGCTGGAGATACAGCAGTGAAACAAACAGCCAGACAAAAATCTCAGTTCTGATGTCAGTAACTTGGGTCTTTCTTCTTGGGCTGCTCATATTCCTTCATGATGACACTTTAAGTTTTATCTTTGGAGGGTAAACAGCTGGTAGCCAAAGATCTAGGAATTGAATGAAGAGGGTATCCAATATCCATACATTCACTTATCTCCCTGTTTATGCAGAGAGCTATTTAACCCTCTCTGGAGAATAAATACTTCAGTCTTGTTTTTCGGAGGGTGGGGTGGAAGTTGAAGATGAGGAAGTGACCTCAGGATTTAACTGCTCTTAAGCAACTATACTTCCACAATAGGCAGTGGGGGGACCTACTGTCACCAGTTTCTAAGACTTAGGGGATTCTTCAATATAAGGTTGGATCTCAACTTTATTACTTTGGGTTTAGGATTCAGGTTTCTTAGTTAAAACTTGCCCATTTGCTTTTCATCTTCCACTTTCTTTTTTGCTACCAACTCCTCTCATTATCCTGGCTTTGTGCTTTAAAAAATCCCATTACTGTCATTTTAATGGTGTTCTAGGAGGGAACAAAAGTAGATCTGTGTGTTCATCTTCATTAATTGTTTAACTCTCGACACTTTCAGGAAATACTTTTCTTTCTTTTTGAGACAGAGTCTGACTCTGTTGCCCAGGTTGGAGTGCAGTGTCATGATCTCGGCTCACTGCAACCTCCACCTCCTGGGTTCAAGCAATTCTGCTGCCTCAGCCTCCCTAGTAGCTAGGACTACGGGTGCATGCCACCACATCCAGCTAATTTTTGTATTTTTAGTAGAGACAGGGTTTTGCCCTGTTGGCCAGGCTCGTCTCAGACTCCTGACCTCAGATGATCCACCCGCCTCAGCCTCCCAAAGTGCTGGGATTACAGGCATGAGCCACTGCACGTGGCCAGGAAATACTTTTCTTTTGTTTGGTTTTTGTTTTTTTGAGACAGAGTCTCACTCTGTCGCCAGGCTGGAGTAGAGTGGTGCAATCTCAGCTCACTGCAACCTCCGCCTCCCAAGCCTGAGCGATTCTCCTGCCTCAGCCTCCTGAGTAGCTGGGACAACAGGCATGCGTCACTACGTCCAGCTAATTTTTGTATTTTTAGTAGAGACGGGATTTCATTATGTTGGCCAGGATGGTCTCGAACTCTTGACCTCATGATCCACCCACCTTGGCCTCCCAAAGTGCTGGGTTTACAGGTGTGAGCCACTGTGCCCAGCCAGGAAATACTTTTCTATACCAACTTAAACCCTCTCTTCTTACCGTTCAAAACTTTATTTTCTCCATTTGTCCTTTGAATTAGATATTTGAAGAAAATATGTATTTTAATTGGTAAGTTATTATGATTTACAAAGGGCTCATTGTCACTTGCATTTTTTAAGATTTTAAATAGCAAAAAATTATTGCCTTTCTCAACAGATCAAAAATAGGTATGAGATATACTTACACATATTCAAAATGATGTACATAGATTAGTTCTTGCAGTATTGTTTTTAATATCAAAAGACTGCAAAAAACCTAAAGGTCCGCCAATAGAAGACTTGTTAAATAAAACATGCCAATCCATGTGGTAGTATGTTACACAGTTAAAAAGAATGAAACAGACCTTTATGTTTTGGTACAGAAGTCTGCAAGGCCATAATCAAATATGTATTACGTATGCTATCATTTGTATTTAAAATACATGCATACACATATATAAATACATATATAGGATCTATTTATACATGATTTATATCTACAACAGTGGTTGCCTCCTGGGAGGGGAACTAGGTGACTGGGAGGTGAACAGAAAAACTAAGAAAGACTTAGTTTTTCCTTATATATCCTTTGCACCATTTGAATTTTATACCACATTCGTGTATTACTTATTTTGAAAATAAATGCAAAGTACTAAGGAATAGTTTTTAAAAGGGTGGGCTTTGTGATATTTACCTGAAATAATGCCCTCTCTGATTACTTCCACCTATCTAAATTTTGCCCCTTCTTCAAGATAGATTCCTTTTCTGGATAACTCCAGCTTGAGTGCTCTTATCTGATCTCCTGTGCTAGAAATTCGTGTGTGTGGCAAATCATTACACATTGCTTTCTTACAGCTCTTCTATTTTAAAAATAGTATCTACTTTGTATTAAAATTCCCATTTTTAATTTTCATTTCTATTTTACTGAACCTTTGGGGATTGCATGGGGAATATAATCTTGCAAAAGAAGAATGGCTGATGGAAAATACGTGACCAAGTAAAAGGCAGAAGGGGGAGTGGGTAAATGGGAAGGAGCATGAGGCTCCCTCCTTGCAGTCAGCCCTCACAGACATTTATCAAATACAGATTCATTTGAATTAGTGACCCCTTTTTATAAAATGCTAATGCCCCTGGAAAGGTAAGGCCTTCACATCTTACAACAATTAATCCAAATATCACGACATCATTTGGCTAAGAACACCTGGGTGTTCTGCGATGAGAGGTCAGGAGAAGTAAAATTTCTGAAGCAGGACTCACAAAAATTTAAAACCAAAAGGGCTTAAAGATCTGCCATTCTAAACCCTTACTTTATAGAAGATGAAACGGGGTCTTGCCCGAGATCACAATGCAAGGTATAGGAAGAGTCCAGATCCAAACTCAAATCTCCTCTTAATTTCAGTCAAGGAACTACATCATGTAGCCTATCAGAGAAGAAGTCTGGCCTAGGTAAAAGACGGTGTCTTTCTATAGCAAGAAAGATACAGATGGGCTCTGTGCCTGGTGAAGAGGGGAGAGATAATTCAGGAAGCACAAAAGAGGTGACGTCAAGTTTTGCCCCCTTTGTAATTGTGTCCAGGAGTCTGTGACTGTGTGTGTCAATGAAAGTCCTCCATATTAGCAGAAACCAAGTTAAGATAATCAGAAATAGTTTGGAAGGCTACAAACCTCAACTTCCCCTTACCCAGTCCGGTCTCCCTACTTCAGGAACCCACTGAAGTTCAGCTTACAGCTCTTGTTGATCCTTTCACACCCTTCCTTTCCAAGTCTGGAGAAGGAAAGTTGGAAAAGGGGAACGCAATGCAAATATAAGAGATTTCCCTATTTCCAGGGTACTTTCAGCCGATTTCCAGGGTACTTTTAGCCGATTCCCCAGTATCTACTGTATCCGAAACACTAGAGAGCCACTTAGGGTAGCCATGGAGATGACTGTCTTCAGTCTTGTTTCCTTCCTTTTCTCTACTATTAACATCTTTCGCTACGATTTCGGTAAGGCCCCCCCACTTCTGCTGGCACTCAGGTCCTGCAGCTCCTCCCTCTCCTCAGGGACGCTCATAGAGGGATTAGGAACACTTTTTAAAATGAAGAGAGCGCGAAAACACAAGAACGAGTGAGGGTTTTCTCCAAAAGGGATCAGTCCCATCCACAGCCTCCCCTTCTCCAGCCTTGAGGTTTTGGCGTTTGGTCCCAGCCCGGACTGCAAGTCCCAGGAGACCCCGCGGCGAGGGTGTCCTCCAGCGATCCTTCCCTCACGCTTCTGGATAGTGGAGAGAAAGGTTCCGATAGCGGCGCACTGCGGTTTGGTTTGTTTGCAACGGCAGTGACGGAGGTTGGGAGCCAGGCTGACTGCAGGCGGGGGCGTCAGGAGGCGGATTCCTCCTCCCTTCGGCACTGGGGGGCGGGGAGGAGGGAGGCCGGGCCTGCGGCCGGGGACCGAGCCGCAAAGACAGAGCGGGCAGAGGCGATGGAGGGCGACGGGGTGCCATGGGGCAGCGAGCCCGTCTCGGGTCCCGGCCCCGGCGGCGGCGGAATGATCCGCGAGCTGTGCCGGGGCTTCGGCCGCTACCGCCGCTACCTGGGACGGCTGCGACAGAACCTGCGCGAGACCCAGAAGTTCTTCCGCGACATCAAGTGCTCCCACAACCACACTTGTCTCTCCTCCCTCACGGGCGGCGGCGGGGCCGAGCGCGGCCCTGCAGGCGATGTCGCCGAAACCGGGCTGCAGGCGGGTAAGGAGGGCAGCCCGGAGGGAGAGAGGGCAGGAGAGGCAAATCGGAGGACGGACCGCACCCCTGCCCTGCAAAACAAGCCCGAGTCTTCTCGGGCAGGCGGAAAGGGGCAGTCGTGTCGTGTGGCCGGGTCCCCGGGCATGGGCCGGCCGGATCTGGGATACCTTGGGAGGGCATCCTTCTGAGGAGGGGAGGAAGGGGCCCGCTGGGGGACCGGGAGCCAGGGGCAACCGAGGGCCGGAGTTCCCGGAGCGGGACCCCGGGGACCGGGGTGTGCGCTGACGGACCTGGGGCGGGCCGGCGTTCGGAGAGGGTAGCAGTTAATCCGAGGAGTGGGGAAAGTTGCTCTGAGTTGGGGGCGGGCGCGTGCGCCGTTGTGGGTCAGAGCCCCAGTTTAGAGATGGAGCAGAGGCGGCAGCGAGTCCCGGGAGTCCGAGGAGGCCATGGGACTGTAGTCGGGTGTGTGGGTTTGATGATGTATGTGAAATGTGTTCACACCAATCATGAGGCAGCTCTGTGAAGAGGGGACATTCTCTAAATAGGGTTGGGGGTCGCCAGAGGAAATCATATCTGATGGGTGCCACGGAATTGCCAGAGATGTTGCTCATGCTTAAGGTGAAGAAGAGAGGGAAGGGATCATTTTGGTCCTGAGCCAATGGAGAACTAGCTACTCTTGTTCTTTCTTGCATGATTCTTTCTAGGATGTGCCAGAGGCCCCCAAACACTTAAAATCGTGCAGTCTTTAATCTTTCCTAACGTCTTGCTTCCTTTTAAACTGCTGTTGGTGGGGAACTGGAGGATTTGTTAACTACTGCGTCTAATTAGGAAATAACTTTAGATTGGAAGGGAGAAGGGACTGACATTCCACGTAGATAGATATCTTGGGGACAAAACAGCAAAGAAGTCTGTGGGTTTAATTTAGTGATTCTCAAACTAAAGTGTGTATTAAACTCACCCCAGGGGCGTATTAAAAATGCCATGTCTCGTGCTCTAGCTCATAAATTCCTATTGAATAGGTGTGTGAAGTGGGTCCTAAGAATCTAATTTAACATGAAAAGACCCTGAAGAGGCCGGGCGCGGTGGCTCACGTCTGTAATCCCAGCACTTTGGGAGGCAGAGGCGGGGCGGATCACTTGAGGTCAGGAATTCGGGACCAGCCTGGCCAACATGGTGAAACCCCGTCTCTACCAAAAATATAAGAAACTAGCCAGGTGTGGTGGTTGAGGCCTGTAATCTCAGCCACTGGGGAGGCTGAGGCAGGAGAATCGCTTGAAACCAGGCGGCGGAGGTTGCAGTGAGCAGAGATTGTGCCACTGCACTCCACCCTGTGCGACGGAGCAAGACTCTGTCTCAATAATAATAATAATAATAATAATAGTAATAATAAAAGACACTGGGGAAGGTGATGCAGGTGGTCCGTTAAAATACTTTCAGAACCATGAATTTAGATGCTCATAGCAAATTTGAACACAAGGCTTAGAACTGGATGAATTGTTCTGACTTTGCGTGTTAGGTCTTATATTCCCAAAGTTTTGCGCTTAATATCCTACATCCGACTGGGAATCCAGAAATGGTGATAAAAATAAGATACTAAGATCATGACAGTATCAGAAAAACTAGTAGTTTCAGAAAAACTAGTCATCCCCCTCCTTTTATGTTACAAGGTAAAATAAGGCTTTTTAAATTCCTATCCAAACCAACTAAATGGAACGGTATCATTTAGGACCCTGTCATGATCTTAGTATCTTATTTTTATCACCATTTCTGGGGATGACTAGTTTTTCTGAAACTAGTCTTTGACATCTTACGTCCAGAAATATACTGTCCTGGAATGGACTTGTAGAGAGAACCAGTATCTGTGAGGCTACCAGAAAACAGCTGATGGGAAGGGCTAATGTTTTCTGAGACGATCCCCAGAATGTGTACTTTCACCCGCACCCATAACAGTGCTTTCCAGAGGTGTCTCCTGCTCGGAAGTTTCTCTCACAGCTTATCTTAAAAAGCCCTTTATTGCTGTTTTTATTTTAAAACAACTATTTATTTTAGACTTGCTTCTAAAACAAAGAGAATTGATTAACCTCAGAGAGATGGAGGTTTTCAAGGCACTTTGGTTGGCTGTTGTTTTTATTCTTTAAAAAACAACTTAAGACATACAAATATACCTTTGCATTTCACTTCATTGGCTTTTCCAGTTGACTGCATCATGAACTGATCTTTGCGTATTTAACTCTCTTCACCATCGGGAGTCTGTCCATCCCAGATAAAAACCTGGGAGGGTGCAGATGGCAGGAGTGGGAGCAATTTGGTTTTGTTCCATAAAATGCTTTTCTTCCTTTCAGCGTGGAGAGTTTGGGGGTAAAAATGCACCAAGGAAAGTTAGTGAAGGGACACTTAATATGTATATTTGAGGGATGCATTTTCCTAGCTGTTTAGGTGGTCATGTCAGAAAGTAGAAATCACTCCTAAAAAGACAACTAGCTCTTGTTCTCCCCATTTACAGGCCATCTTTGTAAGGTCAAGTTATTCAGAGACTGTCTCAACTTTCTTTTTTAAATTTTTTGTAAAGATGGGGTCTCACTTTGTTGCCCAGGCTGGTCTCAAACTCATGGCCTCAAACGATCCTTCCAACTCAACCTCCCAAAGTGCTGGAATTACAGTAATCAGCCACCACACCCAGTCCTCAACTTTCTTTTATGAATGTTAGTCTCTGATTAATAGGAACTTGGGTGTTGAAGGAACACTCAATTCTTACCCTAACAAACCTGTAGGTTTTAAGCATCACTTCAGAATGGAACTGTGCCTCTAGGTTGATGTAGTATGGTATTTGAGCAACTGAAAGAAGACCAGGGATTAACTCTAAATTTGAAATGATTGGAGTATAAGTATGGTAACAATAGTAAAACAATTTTCATGTCTATATACCATTTGTAATGCCATATGATACCAAAAATTTTTATTGTCTCACTTTCACCCACAAAAGAGTAAAGGACCCCAAAATAATATTTGCCTCTAACATTTTATAGTTCTGAATTCACTGGGGTCAGTGTAGAGAATATGTAATGTACATGATATTTTAGAATTTAAAAAGTAAGGCTGGGTGCGGTGGCTCACACCTGTAATCCCAGCACTTTGGGAGGCTGAGGTGGGTGGATCACCTGAGGTTGGGAGTTGGAGACCAGCCTGGCCAACATGGAGAAACCCCGTCTCTATTAAAAATCCAAAAAAATTAGCTGGGCATGGTGGCACATGCCTGTAATCCCAGCTGCTGGGGAAGGCTGAGGCAGGAGAATCACTTGAATGTGGGAGGTGGAGGTTGTGGTGAGCCGAAATCACGCCATTGCACTCCAGCCTGGGCAAGAAGAGCGAAACTCTGTCTCAAAAAATAAATAAATAAATACATAAATAAAGGCTTTGAGCACTTCTGAGGAAAGGCAGGGTGGAGTATTAAGAGTAGCAGAGGGAAAAGTATTTTTTTTCTTTTTTTTTTTTTTTTTTTTTTTTTTTTTTTTTTTTTTGAGACAGAGTCTCTCTGTATTGCCCAGGCTGGAGTGCAGTGGCGTGATCTTGGCTCACTGCAACCTTCACCTCCCATGTTCACGTGATTCTCCTGCTTCAGCGTCCTGAGTAGCTGGGACTATAGGCGCCTGCCACCAGGCCCAGCTAATTTTGTTTTTGTATTTTTAGTAGAGACAGGGTTTTACCGTGTTGGCCAGGCTGGTCTCAAACTCCTGACCTCAAGCGATCTGCCTGCCTTGGCCTCCCAAAGTGCTGGGATTACAGGCATGAGCCACTGTGCCCGGCATGGGAAAGTATTTTTCTTGTTTTATTATCCAGTAAAGTTCCTAGCTGTTGCAATTTGTCATAAGCCTCTCAATTTTAAGAAATTGGAGTGGGCCGGGTGCGGCGGCTCACGCCTGTAATTCCAGCACTTTGGGAGGCCGAGGCAGGTGGATCACTCAAGGTCAGGAGTTCGAGACCAGCCTGGCCAACGTGGTGAAACCCCATCTCTACTAAAAGTACAAAAAATAGCCAGGCATGATGGCGCGTGCCTGTAACCCCAGCTACTCGGGAGGCTGAGGCAGGAGAATCGCTTGAACCCAGGAGGCGGAGGTTGCAGTGAGTCGAGATCGAGCCATTGCACTCCAGCCTGGGTGTCGCAGCAAGACTCTGTCTCAAAAAAAAAAAAAAAAGATACTGGAGTGACTTAAATATGTGTTGTTGGAGTTCTGTGGTCTGTGGTGCCTTCTTTGAATCCTGGTTTCACCTCTTACTAACCAAATGATCTTGGACAAATCACAACTGTGCTGTGCCTTTATTTCCTCATCTGGAAATAGGGATTATAACAGTACTGATCTCTAGAGTTCTTGGGAGTGAATCTATGTGCATGTTTAGAACAGGACCTGGGCCGGGAGCGGTGGCTCATGCCTGTAATCCCAGCACTTTGGGAGGCCAAGGAGGGCGGATCACTTGAGGTCAGGAGTTTGAGACCAGCCTGACCCTATCTCTACTAAAAATACAAAAATTAGCCGGGCAGGGTGGCAGGTGCCTGTATGCCAGCTACTCAGGAGGCTGAGGCAGGAGAATCGCTTGAATCTGGGAGGCGGAGGTTGCAGTGAGTCGAGATTGCCCCACTGTGCTCCAGCCTGGGCGACAAAGCAAGACTCTGTCTTTAAAAAAAAAAAAAAAAGAACAGGCCAGGTGCGGTGGCTCACGCCTGTAATCCCAACACTTTGGCAGGCTGAGGCGGGTGGATCACCTGAGGTCAAGAGGTTGAGACCAGCCTGACCAACATGGAGAAACCCCATGTCTACTAAAAATACAAAATTAGCCGGGCATGGTGGTGCATGCCTGTAATCCCAGCTACTCAGGAGGCTGAGGCAGGAGAATCGCTTGAACCCGGGAGGCGGAGGTTTTGGTGAGCCGAGATTGCACCATTGCACTCTAGCCTGGGCGACAGAGCGAGACTCTGTCTCAAAAACAAAAAACTAAAAAAAAAACCAAAAAAAACCAGTGCCTGCTAAGGTGCTATGTAAGTATTAGCTATTATTCAATAAATACCTGAGTGCCTGGTATGTACTGAGCAATGTGCTGCGTATGGGGGATAAAGAGTCAAATAAAGACATTGGCCTTGGCCTTAGGCCAGTGAAGATCAGTCTTTCCCTTCTATACTTTTAAGAAAGAAAAAATAATTATAATTATCATCAATAATCATTTATGTTTGATGATGGATTAAAAAGGTCTAAGAAGACCTGAACTTGGTCCTCTAGAAAGGTATAATCTAATCTAAACCATATACGTGTGCAACACATAAAACACGTACATAAAAAAGCAGAATGCTAAGGGAGGTTATAAGCATTTTATATGAGTTATAATTCTCAGGTTTTTTTTATAGCTCTTTGCCTTTGGTGAGCTTACAGCTATGTTTCTCCAACATTCTTCACCTTCTTTTTGTCACACCTTTTAAATGTGCCAGCATTTAAAAGAAGGGGAAAAGCACTAGTGTACTTATTTAAAATAGGCATTTTCGGCTGGGCGCGGTGGCTCACTCATGTAATTCCAGCACTTTGGGAGGCTGAGGCAGGTGGATCACCTGAGGTCAGGAGCTCGAGACTAGCCTGCCAGCATGGTGAAACATCGTCTCCACTAAAATACAAAAAATTAGCTGGGCATGGCGGTGCGGGCCTATAATCCCAGCTGCTCAGGAGGCTGAGGCAGGAGAATCGCTGGAACCCAGGAGGCAGAGATTGCAGTGAGCTGAGATCATGCCAGTGCACTCCAGCTTGGGTGATAGAGTGAGACTGTGTCTCAAAAAAAAATAATAATAATAAAATAAAATAAATAGGCATTTTCCTTGGTCATCTTAGAAATTTGTATGATAAGTAAGTTTAAGTGGCAGAGTGACATTTGGGGAAGGGATGAAAAGTTGGGAAAGAGGAGATTCTTTAGAGCTTCATTTTATAGAGCTGTCATCTTTATGGGGCTTAGGGGTGGGGAGAAGCTGGGATTGTGAGGTGGAGCACAGTGACAGCAGTGCTGAGACTGGGATGGGTGTACTCTGTGGTAGTTTGCTATCATCTGTTTAGAAGAGTTGCCAGTGCATTTCAACATAAGCTCAGTAAAGATAGTGCTGTAGTTTTGGTTATTACTTTTAATAAAAGATAATCTATTCTAAGGTAATACCTTAGATTAACAAAATCCCATTTTTCCAAGTATATCCAAAACTTGGTCTTTCTTTCTTAATTTTCTTCCCTCATGGAAGCAGCATTCAGTGGCCAAAAGCAAGCATAGCATTTGAATGAAACCTAGGTTCCTATTCTAGTGCATTCTCTTTTTAACTGTGTGACTTGGGGCAAGTTACTTAACCTATTTGAATCTTGGGTTCTTCATATATATAATGGGAGTAATACACAATGCCACATATTGTATGATTCCATTGATATGAAATATCCAAAATAGGCAAATTCATAGAGATAGAAAGTAGATTAGTGGTTGCTAGGAGATGTGGGGAGAAGAAAATGAGCAAATAAGGGGTGACTGCTAATGGGTATGGAATTTTTCTGGGAGGAGATGAGAGTGCTCTGGAATTAAATAGTGATGATACTTGTACAACTTTGTGAACATTCTAAAAGCCACTGAATTGTACACTTAAAAGGGGTGAATTATATCTCAATAAATAAATAAAATGGGAGTGATAATACCTGCCTTACAAAGTTGTGACATTTGGAGATAATATACCTTAAAGCACAGGCATATAATTAATGCTAAATATATATGGCTGTTTGAGTGGTTGTGTGTGTGTGTGTGTGTGTGTGTGTATGGTGAGCATTGATTTAGAAAGTTGGAACATGGGGTTCGCAGAAGAATGAGAGGAACAGAAAGATGGAATGTGGGACAGAACAGTTTTGAGCTAGAGGCAGATTTAGGCCCGAGTCTCTAGGCTCCCAGTCCAATTCTGCTTCTGCGGCTCTTCCTTTGTTCTTTTCTGACCTGACCATGGGAATACAAAATACACCCTGGCAGTAAAGAGACTCTGTTACAGATGAGTCGTCACCCAGGCTCCACAGCTTGTATGGAACTGTCATTTACTGAGTGGGAGACTATCTGATTGAATGAGTATAATGTGGCACTACCTACTCAGGCTCTTATTCTAGTTTCCACTCCCTGACATTTAGGGCATCAGGCCCCTTGTTGCTGATCTTGCTATCTCCTGCTCCCTGGGAGGAAATGGCCTCCCTAACCACAGTGGCTCTTTGCACCCTTTCCCTTTCTGGCCTTTCTCCTTCCGAATCTTCCTTTCTGGGGGTAATCTGTTTCCCATGGTACAGGTCTGCCTGCTGTTTTTGTTGTTGTTGTTTTGAGACAGAGTCTCGCTCTGTTGCCCAGGCTGGAGTGCAGTGGCATGATCTTAGCTCACTGCAACCTCTGCCTCCCGGTTCAAGCATTTCTCCTGTCTCAACCTCCCAAGTAGCTGGGGCTACAGGCACACACCACCATGCCCAGATAATTTTTGTATTTTTAGTAGAGTCAAGGTTTCACCATATTGGTCAGGCTGGTCTGGAACTCCTGACCTCAGGTGATCCACCTGCCTCGGCCTCCCAAAGCACTGGGATTACAGGCATGAGCCACCTTGCCCAGCTGGTCAGCTTGCTATTAAAAAACATTGGGAAATTCTGCCCCCTCCCTTCCCCTCCCCTCCCCTCCCCTCCCCTCCCCTCCCCTCCCCTTCCCTACCGTACCCCTCCCCTCCCCTCCCCTTCCCTACCCTACCCCTCCCCTCCCCTCTCCTTTTCTTATTTTATTTTTTGAGACAGTCTCACTCTTGTTGCCCAGGCTGGATCTTGGCTCACTGCAACCTCTGCCTCCTAGATAAAAATGATTCTCCTACCTCAGCCTCCCAAGTAGCTGGGACTGCAGGCACGCGCGAACCACACCTGGCTATTTTTTTTTTTTGGTAGAGACGGGGTTTCACCGTTTTGGCCAGGCTGATGTTGAACTCCTGGCCTCAAGTGATCTGGCCACCTTGGCCTCCCAAGGTGCTGGGATTACAGGCGTGAGCTCCCATGCCCATCCTGCCTGCTTTTAAAAGAGAAAATATTATTGCCTTTAAGCTTATTATAATTTGCAATATGTTTAGTCTTAAAAGTCATTACTGATTTCAGTATGGTTAGTTCTTCAGCCTTGCAAGTAGTTTTTACAGAAGGCATGGATTTAAATAAAAATCCAGTCTGGTTTTTATATTTTGTTTTGCTCTGTCTACTTTCTCCTTTTCTTTCTCCATGCTTCTGTTCTCTGTTTTACTAGGTTAAGAGAACAGGGAATCTTTCTCCAATAAATGCACTTCTCAAAAACAATCCTTTCAGAATAAAACCTAAAAAAAAGTTACAGAAATAAAGGGGAATATGAATTTTACCTTATACCTGTTACTCAGTTAATATAGGCTCTGCTCATACAGATTATGCCTTTATTTACTTTCTTTTCTTTCCTTTTTTTAAAAAAATATTTAATTGTATTTACTTTAAAGCTGAATTTACTCCTGTGTCATAAGTTTTTGTTTCTTCAGTTTCTTCTGGGATAACTTTTTCTTCTGGGCACCCTCCTCTTCTGGTTTAGGAACAATCTGTTCCTTTTCAGTAAGGATCATCTCAATGTGGCAGAGAGAGCTCACGTATGGGTTAATCCGACCATGAGCTCTGCAGGTCCAGCGGCGCATCTTAGGTGCTTTGTTCACTTTGATATGCCCAACGACCAGAGAATCTACATCTAAACCCTTAAGTTCAGCATTACTCTCTGCATTTTTAAGCATGTGTAGCAAAAATTCAGCAAGCTTTTTGGGCCACTGACCTTGTCCAGCCCCACTGCTTGGCCTGGGCACACCAACCAACGCAACCATTGTAATGTTGGAATGGTACATGCTGTTTCTGTAAAGTGGTAGCTTTCAGATACTTCGTGGCTTTTCGTATATGCATACCCTTGATGGCCTGAGAAGTGTCATGAGTATTCTTAAAGTGAACACGAAGATTTGAACCTCTTGATTTGCATGATTTTGTGGGGTTCTCTGGGTCAAGTGAATAGCGAACCATTTTCACGGATTACCTCAGGCCACGTAGGGGAAGAAGCCCCTTCCCCTTCCCCTTCCCCTTCCCTTCCCTTCCCCTTCTCCCTTCCCCCTCTCCCTTCCCCTTCTCCCTTTCCCCTCTCCCCTTCCCGAGTTTCCCACATTTCCTTTCCTGATGCCCAGGCTGGAGTGCAGTGGTGCAATCTTGGCTCACTGCAACCTCTGCCTCCCAAGTTCAAGCAATTCTCCTGCCTCAGCCTTCCTGAGTAGCTGGGATCACAGGCATGCACCACCACGACCGGCTAATTTTGTATTTTTAGTAGAGACAGGGTTTCACCATGTTGGTCAGGCTGGTCTCGAATTCCTGACCTCAGGTGATCCTCCCGTCTTGGCTTCCCAAAGTGCTGGCATTACCGGTGTGAACCACTGCGCCCAGCCTTTTCTTTTGTATGATAGCTGTGAGTATGTTTGTCTTAGCCTGCTGACAAGATTGTGTACCCCTAAGGGTAAAGAGTATGTTTTACTCATTTTGTACCCCCAGTAGTGCCTACCATAGTGCTTTGTACATAATGGGCAAATAAATATCTGTTAAATTATTTCCACAGCTGGTGGATATTGGAATGATGTTTTGAAATTAAATGCAATTTAATTCCTTCCTTGGAAGGGCGTTTTTTTTGGCCCCATAGAACATAAGGATTTTTGTAAATTCACACACATTTTACTCTCTGGGCCCCTAAAAAAGAACAATGATATGCATTTCATAGGTGACTAGTTAGGCTGCAGTTGCATTCTTTTTTTTTTTTTTTTTTTGCATTAAAAAAATTTTGTTTTTAATTTTGTGTGTACATAGTAGGTTTATATATTTATGGGATACCTGAGATGTTTTGATACAGGCATGCAATGTGAAATAAACACATCATGGAGAATGGGGTAGCCATCCCCTTAAACATTTATCCTTTAAGTTACAAACAATCTAATTACTTTCCTTAAGTTATTTAAAAATATACAACTGGGCCATCATGGTGGCTCATGCCTGTAATCCCAGCACTTTGGGAGGCCAAGGCGGGTGGATAACATGAGGTCAGGAGTTCGAGAGCAGCCTGACCAACATAGCGAAACCCCATCTCTACTGAAAATACAAAACTAGCCGGGTATGGTGGCACGTGCCTGTAATCCCAGCTACTCAGGAGGCTGAGGCAGGAGAACAGCTTGAACCTGGGAGGCGGAGGTTGCAGTGAGCCAAGATTGCACCATTGCACTCCAGCCTGGGCAACAAGAGTGAAACTCTGTCTCAAAAAAAAAAAAATTAAATTATTATTGACTATAGTCACCCTGTTGTGCTATCAAGTAGTAGGTGCAGTTGCATTCTGTGCCAGTATCCCAAAGAATTATTTTCATGTTCCAAAGAATGACTTGCATGCAATACCAGTAGACCTGAGCTTCACCATGATATGGGAAGTAAATTCTTAATATTCATTCACTCAGCAAACCTTTATTTAATGCCTGACTCTGTACTAGGCACAGGACACGCATTGGTGAACCACTCTGTCCAACTAACTGAGATTATTAATTCCAAATTGATGTTATGAAGGAAAAAAGGATTAGTGTTTCATCATGTCTCTCCCAGAGGATTTTCTACAAATTGGTTACCTACTTAATCATTAGTTGTCTTTGAGTGGGTAGGAGTGTAGGGCATATGGAAAATTGTAAGATTAAATGGCATTGATAAGGATAGGAGTTGAGGCCGGACGCAGTGGCTCACACCTGTAATCCCAGCACTTTGGGAGGCCGAAGTGGGCAGATCACCTGCGGTGAGGAGTTCAAGACCAACCTGGCCAACATGGCGAAACCCCATCTCGATTAAAAATACAAAAAATTGGCTGGGTGTGGTAGCTCATGCCTATAATCCCAGCACTTTGGGAGGCCAAGGTAGGTGGATCACCTGAGGTTAGTAGTTCAAGACTAGCCTGGCCAACATGGTGAAACCTTGTCCCTACTAAAAATACAAAAAATCATCTGGTCGCGGTGGTAGGCGCCTGTAATCCCAGCTACTTGGGAGGGTGAGGCAGGAGGATCTCTTGAACCCAGGAGGCGAAGTTTGCAACCAGCCGAGATTGCACCACTGCACTCCAGCCAAGGTGACAGAGCGAGACTCTGTCTCATTAAAAAAAAGAATAAGAGTTGAAATGTTCTGCCCACTTTCTGACAGTAGAGGAAAATCAGCCTATTTTCTCTTTGATGGAAAAATTATATCATCTCGTTTTTGTGGTTCAAATGCAGAATGCATTTATGAAGATTACTATTAGAGCTTCTTTCATTTCTGTCTTTCTTAGAAGTTACAGAGAAGCCGGTAGGAAAACTACGAGCTATGGGTGGATGTGGTTTTTTTGGTTATGGTTGTAAAACCTAAGGTTAATTTGCTCCTTCTTACAGGAAAATAGCCTCTAGGGATGACGGGGTTTGCTTCCTACATGGTGCAGGGAATCTGAGTAGTGTCATTCATAACAAGACTACAGAGGGCGAGTCCACGTGGGGGTGCAGTTTTTCTATTTTACCTCACAGAGCTCTGACTGGAGTGCCGTGGGAGGATGTCCAGTCTCAGTATAGGCCATTCCCAGGCTTGGAGGTTGATTCAGTTCTTTGTCACACAGGGAGTTTGGTGATCCTATGGAACCTGGAACTTGACACTTACATGACCAGAGGAGAACAGATGTAGAAATGCTTAAGATGTGTGTCTCCTTGCTTTGAGCTATAAATGAGACTCTCTGAGAAAGTTCCCTTATGCGTAATGTTCCTCCAAAGTCCAAACCAAAACTCTTGGAGGGAAAGTTGGTCAGAGCATGGAGACTCATCAGTATCCCCTGTGGGTTCTGGTTGAAGTGCCCATCACAGGCAGTGTGTTTTTCTATTTTCTTCTCTAGGCAGTGTGAGCAGTTTGGATATATTCCCCAGCTGTGTGCCACGTGGCTGTGGGAACCTTTTGACCACCGCTTTCTTTGGAGTTGGGCTTTATTATAACATGCTTCCATTCCCTGAGGTGGTGTGCTCTGGGCAGGATGATGGGAGTAGGACTTGAGGATTGTTTTGCTTTTCACTTGTCTAACTAATGATACATCAGAATTGTCCCAAATAATTATGTCTAGGTTATATATTTATAAAAGCCTTTGATTTTTTAAAAAAATTCCACTTATTTTAAAAAAGTACTTTCATCCTCAAAGTGTCTAACTTTAGTTTCATCAGATTAAGAGCTTTAGTGCCTGGGAGGCTGAGGCAGAAGAATCGCCTGAACCTGGGAGGCAGAGATTGAAGTGAGTCGAGATCGCGCCACCACACTCCAGCCTGGCGACAGAGCGAGGCTCCATCTCAAAAAAAAAAAAAAAAGCTTTAGTGCCTTATTTATGCCAGACAAATTTCAGTTTAGATCTTTTTTTTAATATTTTCTAGTCTATTTAATGGGGAGAGAATTTCCCAGGGTTTTTTTGTTTTTGTTTTTTTTAAATCAAGTCAAACTTGCCAGAGCAAAGACTAAGGCCCTATCACAAATGCAGCTAGGTTACAAGACTATTTTAAATAAAAGCTCTTTCTATTCAAATGAGAGGGACAGTGAGAATGAACCAGTATGGAGTTTACGTTTTAGGAATATTCCATATGATATACTCTAGCCTTAGCGTTTAATATTATGGCGATATCTAGGTGCAAGGAGGAATGTGGGGGAATATAGCTAGTAAAGAAAAGTCATTCTTATTTTTTAGTATATAAGAACCCCACTGAGGAAACCTCTTTCACTTTCTCCTGATTGAACAACTGACATGCTCTTCTGGTTCTGTCCCATGGAGAGAATTGGAAAAGTTTTGCTGCTTTAACTTGGAAAAGTGGTTTGTTGGTATAGGATAAAAGTAGTTAGTGTATAATGGCAATATAGTCTCTACCACTAATAAACATAAGGGGCCACTACAGGCAGTGCAAAATCAAAGTCAAGCTTCCTCTGTTGGTTTCTTTCTTTCTTTCTTTCTTTTTTTTTTGAGACGGAGTTTCACTCTTGTTGCCCAGGCTGGAGTACAATGGCGTGATCTTGGCTCACCGCAGCCTCCACCTCCCGGGTTCAAGCGATTCTTCTGCCTCAGCCTACCGAGTAGCTGGGATTACAGGCATGTGCCACCACGCCCAGCTAATTCTGTATTTTTAATAGAGACGGGGTTTCTCCATGATGGTCAGGCTGGTCTCAAACTCCCGACCTCAGGTGATCCGCCCGCCTCAGCCTCCCAAAGTGCTGGGATTACAGGCATGAGCCATCACGCCCGGCCTTCGTGGTTTCTTATTTAATGAACCTGATGGTTACAGGTAACTTTCATCAGACTGTTCTATACTGGAGCATCATGTTGGTCTATACTGCTTAGACTTGTGGATTTGGATTCTAAGTCTGATCCTAAACTACTTGCTTAGATCAGTGCCTTGAACTCCCCAGACTCTGAACAAGCAATAGTAAACATCACAGGAAGATTGATGGGATGGAAGGTAATGTGCAGGGCAAAAGTGGAGACAGTGAAGAAACTGTTGTTGTTCAAATCCTGTTATTGCTGTATTTGATGTATTTTTTTTTTTTCCGGCTGGTTTTTCTTGTCAAGTAAAATCCTATCTCTTGATCTCTTTCCTCTGAGATCAAGAGCTGGATACGCTTTGCTAGGTATATATTTGGATCCTAAAAAAATTATTTTGAAATAATTTCAAACATACGTAAGTGTTGCGAGAACAATAAAAGAGTTCCAATACCTGCTTCATGCAAATTTTCTAGTTGTTAACATTTTCATGGATTTGTTCCATCACCCAGTCTCTCTCCTTCCTGATCTATATTAGATGTAGCCTTTTTCTGAACCTTTTGAGAGCTGAGTGCAGTTAGGTTTTCTCATCTCCTCTAAACACTCCAGTATGCATTCCTCCCAAACAAGGATGTGCTTCTATGATCACCATACAGCTCGCCAAATCAAGAAATTAACATGGGTTCAGTACTACCATCCAGTCCACAGACCCTGTTCAGGTTTTGCCAACTGTCCCAACAATGTCTCCTTTTTTTTTTTTTCCTTTCATCACAGGGTATATGACGTTAACCCATCCCTGGAGATGTTTTCTCCACCTTAAATTCACCAGTTTTAGGGCCAGGCGCAGTGGCTCATGCCTGTAATCCCAGCACTTTGGGAGGCCATGGCGGGTGGATCACCTGAAATCAGGAGTTCAAGACCAGCCTGGCCACTATGGTGAAACCCCATCTCTACTAAAAATACAAAAAAAAAAATTAGCCAGGCATGGTGGTGCATGCTTGTAATCCCTGCTACTTGGGAGGCTGAGGCAGGAGAATTGCTCGAACCCGGAAGGCTGCAGTGAGCTGAGATCATGCCATTGTACTCCAGCTTGGGCAACAAGAACGAAACTCCATCTCAAAAAAAAAAAAAAAAAAAAAAATTCACCATTTTTTGCTTTGCAGTTGATTAGTTTGTGAATTCACCATTTTTTTCCTTTGCAATTGATTAGTTTGTGGAGAGGTGTTCTTGTATTTCACTGATACCCTGTTTCTCAAAAAACCTCCTTCCAGTAGACCTAGCATTCCCTGACAACTCCCACCTGTCTCAGTGATGGGGTTTTTTTGTTGTTGTTTTCTTTTTACAGGCAAGGTCTTGCTCTGTTACCCAGGCTGGATGGAGCGCAGTAGTGTGATCATAGCTCACTGCAGCCTTAATCTCCTGGGCTCAAGAAATCCTGCCTCAGCCTCCCTAGTATCTGGGACTACAGGCACATGCCACCGTGCCTAGCTAATTTTTAAATTTTTTGTAGAGATGGAGTCTCACTATGTTGCCCAGGTTGGTTTTGAACTTCTAGGCTCAAGCGATCCTCCTGCCTCAGCCTCCCAAAGTGCTAGGACTACAGGCATGAGTGACCGTGTGCAGCCCAATGGTGATTTTTATATCCATCATTCCTTCTATATGTATTAGTTGTAGTCTACTGTAAAGAAGAGCTTTCCTTTTCTCTTGTTTATTTAATCAGTGTAGACTTGTGAATTTTTTCAATGGATTGTAATATCTTCCTATCACTTTTTATGCATAAATTGTCCCCACTTTGGTGAGGTGAGTGAGTTTCCCTTCAAGCTGGTTCCTGTGTCCTTTTGACATATTCCCACCTTTGGATCATTGGTAATGCTTATAAACTGTTATACACTGCGTTCCAAATGCCAGAAACTAAGCCCTCTGTAAAGCATGGGGTTGGCTTCCTTCAAGGAACTACTTCCATCTCTGCGTCCCATACGTTAAAGCCTCAACTGCCAGCTGTGATTCTGTTCCCTCGGTAGTGTGACCAGTCTCAGGAGCAGTTTCACCCAGAAAGGAGCTTGTTCAGCATGCTGCTGAGTGCGTTCCCATTTCACGTGGCTCCCAGGGAGTATCAGCCCCTAGGGAGGCGGTCTCCTCTCCCCCGGTGCCAATACTATCTGCTTCTTAAAAGCTGTGAGAGATCTTAACGTGGTCCTGACATAGAATAACTTTAGAGAGACTTCTGCCAACTTGACTTTTCCGATTCCAGCGAGAGCTTTGCCTACTAGAGTGCATTTCAGTCTCTAATCTTCAATAACCATCCCCTTCCAAAGAAATAGCGTGTACTACTTGGTCCTGAAGATTCTGAAAGCCAGACTACCTAAGCATCTGTTTGTCTTAAATGAGGGTGCCTTCTGTGTCAGTCTTTAAAATTTAGCTGAAGGTCAGAGAGCTTGTTTAGGAAGGATAAATAAATATTTCTAGACTGAATTTTTTCTGTCTCAGTCCCTGGAATTTTTGTAGCTTAGTACTTTGAAGCTTGTGGTAGAATTGACTGTAGTAGAAAGACTATATAAGATTACTTTCTCAATTTAGGATTTGTTCTTTTCTCTACTTTTGGTATAGATAGTAAGAAATAAAACATCACTACCTATTTGTGGAAATGCATCTTTGTGTCACTGGTTGCCTCAGTTAACTATAAAAATCCTTTGTTTTTCATTCACTTTCAGAGGGGACTTAAGTTGACTTCCCATAAAAGCATGGAAAATTCAATGTTAGAAGTGATATTTTTGGCCAGGCATGGTGGCTCACACCTGTAATCTCAGCACTTTGGGAGGCTGAGGCAGGCGGATCACCTGAGGTCAGGAGTTTGAGATCAGCCTGGCCAACATGGTGAAATCCTGTCTATACAAAAAAAAAAAAAAAAAATTAGTGGCACTTGCCTGTAGTCCCTGCTACTCGGGAGGCTGAGGCACGAGAATCACTTGAACCTGGGAGGTAGAGGTTGCCCTGACCCAAGATCATGCCACTACACTCCAGCCTGGGCGACAGAGCTGGAGTTTTGGCACACGCCTGTAGTCCCAGCTACTTGGTACTTGGGAGGCTGAGGCACAGGAATTGCTTGAACCAGGGAGGTGGAGGTTGCTATGACCCAAGATCATGCTACTGCACTCCAGCCTGGGCGACAGAGCTGGAGTTTTCTTTTTTTGAGCTCTGTCTCTGTCTTTTTTTTTTAGGCCAGGCACGGCGGCTCATGCCTATAATCCTAGCACTTTGGGAGGCTGAGGTGGGAGGGTCGCTTGAACCCAGGAGTTTGAGACCAGCCTGGGCAACATAGTGAGACCCCATCTCTATTTTAAAAAAAAAAAAAAAAGTGAGATTTTTAAAACTACTGAAGGAGGGAAATCCTTGGGTACCAGGAACAAGTATTGCAGTAATAACTCTGTTGAGACCTGAATTAACTTTGAAGTCCATGTTAACTTTATGAGCTGCAGGAGTATAATAAAGCAAAAGCATTTTCTATTTCACCAACTTTTGTAGTGCCTTCCCTACCTTGGACATAGACTGTACCTTAAGAGCCTTCAGTTACCTTTCACGAGTATGTATTATTGATTGGTAGTGGCTGAAAGGTGTGATAGATTTCCTCACTCATCTTGAGGGTCATGGCCAACACTTCTCTAACAAAAGACAGTTTAACAAGAGAAAAGCATAACAAATTTATGTGACACGGGAGCCTTTAGAAATGAAGTCACAAAGACCCAGGGAAAACTGTTTTTATGCTTAGGTTTGATGAAGAATTGACTGCTTTGTAGAAAGTGATTGGACAGTAGGACATGATCTAATGGTAATAGACTGAGAAACCCAGCAAGGCTGGTCTGCTCAGGTTATTCTTGGGCTCTTTATGTGCATTCCTTCCCCCAGGGTGTGGGATGTGGCAGGTCCTCTCTGGAATGAGGGTCTTCAGAGGAAAAGAGAGCAACCTTTCTAGTTTTATGGCTTGCTTCAGAGAAGAGGATTGCTAGTTAGTTCCTTTTTTTTTTTTTTTTTGAGACGGAGTCTCACTCTGTTGCCCAGGCTGGAGTGCAGTGGCACTATCTCGGCTCACTGCAGCCCCTACCTCCCAGGTTCAAGCGATTCTCCTGCCTTAGCCTCCTAACTAGTTGGGACTATAGGCACATGCTACCACGCCTGGCTAATTTTTGTATTTTTAGTAGAGGTGGGGTTTTACCATGTTGGCCAGGCTGGTCTCGAACTCCTGACCTCAAGTGATCCACCCACCTGGGCCTCCCAAAGTGTTGGGATTACAGGCATGAGCCACTGTGCCCGGCCAGGGTTTCTAGTTTCTATGGTCTTGAGGAAGAGGAATTCTGGTTTCTGTGAGTAGCTTAAGGGGAGAAAAAGGGGAGGCAGACAGGAGGCTAGGAGAAGGTCAGAGAGCAACCTTGCTTCTGAAGCCTTCCAATCTCCTTTAGTTCAAAGTGCTCAGCATGCCAAAGCACCATACTTTGGGCTATTGTTTTCTGAGCCTGATGGGATGGAAAATAGGCAAGAAGGAGAATGTGTTGCTACAAATCGATTGACATTACCCCAAAAACAATTTAAATAAAGTATGTATCTTAAAGAGTCACTAGCAACAGAAACAGGTCACGAGTATTTCCTCCCTCCCATCTTCTCTTTTCAGAGTAGTCACCCAAACAGTAATACACACTGACTGTTGAGCAGAGCACTAAGAATTTCTCTGAAAAGAGCCTACTGTTTCTTTTAGCAAAGAGACTTTAGAGATCTCAGGTAGAATAACATTTTTTGAAAGTGTGTACCAGCCAGTGGTAATGCTGCGGTTTTCTCCATATGCTTTATTCCTCATGGTTTGGGGCAACTTTCATAGGGATTGTATCAGTCTGCTTTACATTGAGGTCCTACAGTTACTAAATTGCATTTGACCCCAGACTGGAAAACAATGTGGCGTAGGGGTCATTGTCTACTGGCCCCCAGAGCTCTGCAGTTCACTGCTGAGAGAAATGGAGAAACCTGAGCTGTTTCTTGTTTTTTCTTTTTGAAATGGAGTTTCGCTCTTGTCACTCAGACTGGAGTGCAATGGCGTTATCTCGGCTCACTACAACCTCTGCCTCCCGGGTTCAAGCAATTCTCCTGCCTCAGCCTCCCGAATAGCTGGGATTACAGGCGTCGGCCACCATGCTTGGCTAGTTTTTATATTTCTAGTAGAGATGGGGTTTCACCATATTGGCTAGGCTGGTCTCGAACTCCTGACCTCAGGTGATCCACCTGCCTTGGCCTCCCAAAGTGCTGAGATTACAGGCATGAACCACTACGCCCAGCCTGGTTTGGTTTTTTGAGCATCCATTTCCTCATCTTTATTATTATTATTTTGTGAGGCAGGTGACTCACCCAGGAGAGTCTCACAGTAGCGTGATCACAGATCACTGCAGCCTCGACCTCCCCAGGGTCAAGGAGTCTTCACACCTCAGCCTCCTGAGTAGTACATCACCATGCCTAGCTGATTTTTTAAAATTTTTAGTAGAAACAAAGGCACGGCGGGGGTTGCTCCCTTTGTTGCCCAGGCTGGTCTCGCACTTCTGAGCTCCATCCATCCATCCATGTCGGCCTCCCAAAGTCCTGGGATTATAGGCGTGAGCCACCATGCCTGGTCCATTTCTTCATTTTTAAATGGAGTTAATAATAGTCCTTGTCTTGTAGAATTGTGAGCATTAAATGAAATGAAGCAAATAAAGTGATCAATACATAGAAAGGGCTCAATAAATGTTATGTAAAACAAAAACCAAAATAGGTTGCTGCTTTAGTTGTTCTTCTCTTCCATCTAGCTTGAAACTTTTGTTTAGAAGTAAACAAAAATCAAAATCTGTATTTAAGAACAACCACCAAGAACAACAACAACAACAGAAGCCTTGGTTTGCACTTAAGACAATTTGATATGATTTTTCCTCCAGCCAGAGTTGGCAGGGTTAATGTGAGCCAGCTGAGAAGCCATGCTGTTACCTTCTGGCAGCCCATATGCAGATGCTGTTGTATTAATTACAAAAGAAAACTCGATTAACTTGAAGTCCTTTAACTGTCAGTGAGGCAGCTGCTCCAGCTCTGAAACAGGTTTTCTTCCTCCCTCCTACTGTCAGTCTACAGCTTTTAATCTCTTCTTTAGAGAACTGCTAAGACTGCACTGTAGGTCCTCAGAGCCCCTGGCTAGTTCAGTCTACTTTTTGTTCTGCAGTTATAGTGGTCCAAGGGGCACTTGCGTAATTAAATTCACATATAATTTAAAATAAAATAAAAACCACCACACCAACCACCCATCCCCCTCACATCATTGGTCTTTCAGCAGTTAAAACCTGGCATTTTAGAACTGGAAAGCATGTTAAAGATTATCTAATCCAACTCCACCCCCCTCCATTTACCGACGAGCATTTCAAGGCTCAGAAAGATCGAGTGGATTGCCAAGGTCACAGAGCTAGTCAGAGTGGCAAAGCCTGCCTTCATTCTCGTGCTGTTCCCACTTCCATATTGCATTCCACCACATCACTGAGCAGTGTGCAAGAATCCAGGAGTAAAACCATCTGCTTTCAACTTCATTTCTCTCCATGCCCTTGTTCAAATCTGGTAGAGATGTCAAATGGATGAAAAAGCTAAAGATTTAGTGGGAGAAGCAAAGAGCTTGGATAGTGACATGTTGGAAAACAAAGACGGTGATGTTTGCCATGGACTTCTAACAGTGTACTGGGATCAACTTCAGCACCCTTTCCTACTGCGCTGGTCTTTGGTCGTTTTGACAGTAGCAAGTTTATTTGTGGTGACTTTTTGTAGGAAAGATGGAGGGGGGAAGTGTTCATTTGGGTCAGATGAATAATGGGGTGTGTCTGCTCTGGTTTTGGCTGATGCAGCCTGTTTCATTGGCTGTCCTGTAGTTGACACTTTGTTTCAGAGGTGCAGAGGCTCTCTCCCTCTCGTCCTGAAAAGTGATTTAGTCGGTTTTCTTCTCTATTATCCACTCTCCTGGTAGTAGCAGTAACAAAGGTTATTTAGTTTTGTTGGTCTTTTTGTGATGAAACCATTTTTATTATAGGAATTTAAAGGTTGTCAGTATGCATTCATGCGTAGACACTTATGTGAAAATCTGGGGAGGACAGGGAATAGAAGAAAGCTAGGAAGTGTAGGTGAGGTGAAGACAGTCTAGCTGGACTTCTCACTGCTCGAGCTGAGACTATGGTAGTTAAATTCCACAAGATGAATGGAAGGGTCCTACTCTTGGGTTTTTTTTTTTTTTTTTTTTTTGAGATGGAGTCTCGCTCTGTTGCCCAGGCTGGAGTGCAATGGCGTGATCTTGGCTCACTGCAACCTCCGCTTCCCGGGTTAAAGCGATTCTCCTGCCTCAGTCTCCCGAGTAGCTGGGATTACCACCACGCCCAGCTGATTTTTTGTATTTTTAATAGAATCAGGGTTTCGCCATGTTGGCCAGGCTGGTTTCGGACTCCTGACCTCAGGTGATCTGCCCACCTCCACCTCTCAGACTGCTGGGATTACAGGTGTGAGCCACTGCACCTGGCTGAAGGGTCCTATTCTTTTATCCACATGAAGGAGGTTTTTAGGAGTGATGGTTGCTCTTAAACTATTCATCATGATACTGGACTTTTCAAAGTACTCAGTGGGTTTGCTTACAGCTTTCTATAGGTAGCTGTCCCCACTAAATGGATTCTCAGACAAAACAAACAAATCTATGACATTAAGCCCTTGGTAAGTGTCAGGCATTGTGTTGGGTGTTGAGGATGAAATAGGATGGTTCTTCCTGCTTTAGATGATTATAAACAGGTAATTAGAATAAAGCATGGTAGGTGTTCTGCAGTTGAGAATAAGGTATGAAGGAACTCAGGACTGGCCTGTTGCTACTTGTTAAGTGGCCACACAAGCAATTTGCTGTGTCCTCTTGCTTTTAGGTTGTAGATCAAAAGAGTAGACTAGTGGTCTGGTGTTATACTCTTGTATTTAGTAAATACCCTTGCACAGAATTATATACTTAGTTAACTCTGTTGGTTTTTGAAAGGCACTCATCTCTTTCCAAGGAGAGTAGATTTGCTTGTTTCAGTGTCTGGTGTTGCTGATGTATATGTGCGGGCCAGGCTGATATCCTTATAGACAGACATGAAAAGAAGGGCCCTAATGAAATGCATAGAGGGATCTGCGTGAACACAGACCTCTTTAACCCTTTTGGTGTTACTGTTTGTGGAAGAGAAGGATGCTTGGGGATTTGAAATCGTAGCTAGGTAGGTTCACTCTGAAGTAGAACCACCTCTTAATTGATTCAGGCCTCTTATGCTTCCAATTCTGGAAACAAACAAAATAAATGGCCTACAAATAATTTAATGCAGCTTATGGTTAAGTGACTAAAGCAAATACTGTTTCAGTTAGTGCCACCCAAAATTTCAGTTATGATGGATGTGTTTGGCTCAAGGATTGGCCCTTTTGCAGCCTAAGAACTGTGTCTGTGCTTTTCTGAACAAATGCAGGAATTGCCTGAATCTTAGAGATAGGCAGACACTGATACTGAAGGAATAAGGAAGTGATATAGTTCAGGCTGAGAGTTTCAGTGAACTAATTTCGGATTATTTTTCTCAAACACAGATTCTCATTCTTTAGGAAGCTTGTTCTGTCTTGAACATTATTTGAACGTGTTTGGGGAAGTTATCCATTTAGATTAGTAGTAGTTGCCTTGAAAGGAGAAGTTTTTTTTGTTTTTTTTTGTTTTAGATTTTTATTTTTTATTTTTTTTGTACAAAACGTAAGGGTGGTGAAAAACAGATTTTTTAAATTGACACATAGTAATTGTACATATTTATAGGATACATGTGGTATTTCGATATGTGGGTAACAATGTGGTAATGGTCAAATCAGGGTAATTGGGATGTCCATCAAGGAGAATGTTTTTGAAATAAATCACATCTCTTTCTAGATTTGCCTGGATTTTATCCTAATAGGCAGTTCTTTCCCTTTGTCCTATTTAGGGTCTTGTCTCCCATAAACAGAAGGAATGTGATTTGATTAGGAGGTATTGATGTTAATTGAGCACCCAGTGTTTTAAGGAAACAGATGACTTGGCAGCTGGGACGTTGTCACCAGCCATCAGAGAGATGAACTGGAAAAGATTCTAGAGCTTATGCAAACTTGAATAACATTTCATTTTATACATTTATACATTTTATACATTTATAGCTCATACATTTAGTAGTAAAATATGTCACAATGAAGAACATAAGCTAAAACCGCATATGGTAGATAATTTAAAAGGGCTCCATAGTGCTATATTATGTGCTGCATGATGGCATCTTGGTCAACAAAGGTACAGTATTTTTAGCATACGTTTTCTATGTTTAGATATGTTTAGATACACAAATACTTACCACTGTGTTACAGCTGTCTATAGTATTCAGTACAGTAACATGCTGTACAAGTTTGTAGCCTAGGAACAATAGGCTACACCCTATAGCCTAGGTGTGTAGTAGGCTATACCCATACCACCTAAGTTTGTGTAAGTACACTCTGATGTTTACACAATGACAAAATTGCCTGATGATGCATTTCTCAGAATGTATGCCTGTTGTTAAGCAACACACGACTGTAATCTGAGTTCAAGTATTAGGTCTTCTGTCAGAAGAAAGGGTTTAATTTTGACACATTCAGTTACGTTTCTCCTTGGGCTCACATCCCAACTAGTGTAGTTTTTTTCTGGCTTTGTTATTTTAATAATCTTGGTGTTTGTGATGGAGTCCTTATAAACTCCTTAGGCTGTCCCTCCACTGAATGAAAAAGGAGCGGGGCGGGAAGATCAGGTCACTCCCACATTTCTGGGTAGAAATAACAGTTTGTTCCTAGGGGGTGAGCTAGGGAAAGGAATTCTGTTTGATATGTGAAGAGCTTTTTCTCACTGGGGTTTTTTCCCTGATATGTCCTTCAACCAAGGTTCCTAGAAATTTCTCCTCTAGGACCTTGTCTTCCTCATGGGATTTCTGCGTGAGTCTCTCTCTCTCCCCTTCCTCACTCCTCTCTCTCTACTCCTTTCTCTTCCTCCACTCTCCCCTTCCCCAACCAGGCCAACTGAGCTGCATTTCCTTCCCACCTAAGGAAGAGAAGTACCTCCAGCAGATTGTGGACTGCCTCCCTTGCATACTGATCCTCGGCCAGGATTGTAACGTCAAGTGCCAGCTGTTGAATCTGCTGTTGGGGGTGCAGGTGCTTCCCACCACCAAGCTGGGCAGTGAGGAGAGCTGTAAGCTTCGGCGCCTCCGCTTCACCTATGGGACTCAGACTCGGGTCAGCCTGGCGCTCCCTGGACAGTATGAACTAGTGCACACGCTGGTTGCTCATCAGGGCAACTGGGAGACCATCCCTGAGGAGGATCTGGAGGTCCAAGAGAACAATGAGGATGCTGCTCATGTTTTAGCGGAACTGGAGGTAACGATGCACCATGCTCTCTTACAGGTACCAATCTCATACTTCTATACCAATTGTATACATATATACCAGCTTTCCTTTTATTTTGACTTTCTAAAAAAGTAATTCGATGATATATAGTCTGAACTCTGAGCAGCAGTGGCTAGTGGAGTCAGAGGAACATAATCTGGGAAGTTGAAAAACAAACAAGGCTGTAGCAATACCCATTCCTGCCTCTCCTTACCATGCTGCAAGGCCCTGAGTAGTTTGCTTGTCTCCTCACTTCCTTATCTCTGTTTCTGAAATGAAAGGAATATGTGATACTTGTATCTTAGCATGCTTTTACAGAATAATTGTAATCAAAGTTAGAAATCCTTTCTCATTTCTTAACAGGAAGATATTGCTTGAATTGTCTCTAGTTACCTCTTTCTAAAAGGAATGATAGATGATGGATGAGTATTGTTCTTATTGGAATTGAGACCAAGTGAAGAATTTTGTGGGTTCTTCCTTAGATCTAACCATTAATTTACTAAGTAGTACAGAGGATAGATCATTTCTCCTACTTTATAAGGAACATGGGAATGTGAGGACAGGTCTGGCTCAATGTAAGGAGACGCGGAGATCCTGTTATTTGAAGAGTATCTTAGTTTCTCTCATAAACTCCCAAAGAGAGCACAGATCTGTGCCATCTCGTAAGATATCATATTGTCTAAGACTTTATACATTATCACTTAGGAAATAACTTCTGTCTTGGTCTGCGTTTCCTTTCCTACTGGATAGTTAGGACCAGGCTATTTAATTAGACCAAATGGGGATGTGACTATGGCAGGGTCAGGAGTGGGTAGGGATAAAATAATTCAGCCATACTCAGAGTTTTGCTCTTGGTTAACTGTGCCAGGAAGGATGGGCTAGTTTGGCAGGACCTGAAAGAGTGGTTTCTTCTTTCCTTCTTTCTTATAACCACTTCATCTACCCCACTTCTAAGAAGCTTAGTTTCTCAGTCAATGAATGAGTCCTTTGGTTGTGGCCATGGCCTGTGACACTCTAGAAGTAAAAATTGTCCTCTCATTTCCTTCCACAGTCCATATTTCTTTCATCTTGATAAATGCCACAGGGGGCTATGTAACAAGCCCCCATTCTCTCTCAGCTCAGTTTCAGTGGTGGTTTCCTGTGTTTTCAAACTGAGAGTTCACATTTCCTAGCTCCAGGATAATGTGAGGGTTTTTGAATAGCTCTGATAGTAACTCTGGCAGTAATCTTTGTATATTAACTGTGGCATGTTCAGTTGACCCATGAACTTCTTCACAATTCACAAGTATTTCATCCATCCATACACAGTCTCTCTGTAGTATACAGTCTTGGTCTAGTTCCTTCAAGCTTCCAATAGCTCAATGGTTTTCAAACTTATATATATATTTTTTTTCTTTTCTTTTTTTCTTTTTTGAGATGGAGTCTCTCTCTGTTGCCCAGGCAGGAGTGCAATGGTGCGATCTCAGTTCACTGCAATCTCCGCTTCCTGGGTTCAAGTGGTTCTCCTGCCTGAGCCTACAGAGTAGCTGGGACTACAGGCACCCGCCACCACACCTGGCTAATTTTTGTAATTTTAGTAGAGACAGGGTTTCACCATGTTTGCCAGGGTGGCCTAGAACTCCTTACCTCAGTGATCCACCCACCTCAACCTCCCAAAGTGCTGGGATTACAGGCGTGAGCCACCACGCCTGGCTACTTTTTTATATTTTAATTCACTGTAAGACATACATTTTCTTTCAGGACCCAGTACATATATACACATATACATTTGAAATATAAGTTTCATGAAATATTACTTTTGCTTTCTGCAATACATACTGATAATTTCTTCTCTCTTCGACTTCATTTTTTGAAAATGTTAGTAGCAACCCACTAAGTTGATGCTATGACCTGATAGATTATAACCTGTAGCTTAAAAAACACTGTTGGTCTCAGTGGCACACCCTTGTAGTCCCAGCTACTGGGGAGACTGAGGCATGAGGATTGCTTGAACCTAAGAAGTTGTATCCAGCCTGGGCAACATAGTGAGACCCTGTCTCTAAAAAAAATAATAATAATACTGTTAAATAGCAGAAATGACTGCTGTGAGTCAGGTGGTGATTTTCCCCATTCTTGCCTTTAGTAACAATCCTGGAATGTGACAAAGCCATCTGCAGGAGAGGCAAATCATTTGACTTTTTTCTCTTAGTCCCTTCATTTTATTTTTTTAAATTACTATTATTATTTTTTATTTTTGAGAGAGAGTCTTGCTCTGTGGCCCAGGCTGGAGTACAGTAGCGCAGTCTTGGCTCACTGCAACCTCCGCCTTCCAGATTCAAGCAATTCTACTGCCTCAGCCTCCCAAGTAGCTGGGATTACAGGTGTGTGCCACCACGCCCAGCTAATTTTTGTATTTTTAGTAGAGATGGGGTTTCGCCATGTTGGCCAGGCTGGTCTCAAACTCCTGACCATAAGTGATCCTCCCACCTCTCAACCTTGCAAAGTGCTGGGATTACAGGCATGAGCCACCATACCCGGCCCCTTCATTTTATTGGTTTAAATTTCTAATGCTTGTCTGAGCACAGTGATTATGCCTGTAATCCCAACACTTTGGGAGACTGAGGGAGGAGGATAGCTTGAGCCCAAATGTTCAACACCAGCCTGGGCAACCTAGTGAGATCCTGTGTACACACCTGTGGTCTGAGCCACTTGAAAGGCTGGGGTTGGGGGATCAAGTGATCCTTCAACCAGTGGAGGCAGTGGTCAGCTGTGATCGTAGCACTGTACAACACTTGGGCAATAGAATGAGACCCTGTCTCAAAAAAAATTTTTTAAAGATCTTTCTCTTCATTACTTTGTGGGTTTTTTTGTTTGTTTGTGTTTTTGAGATGGAGTCTCACTCTGTTGCCTAGGCTGGAGTGCAGTGGAGTGATTTTGACTCACTGCAGCCTCTGCCTCCCGGGTTCAAGCGATTCTCTTTCCTTAGCCTCCCAAGTAGCTGGGATTATAGGCGCCTGCCACCACACTCGACTAATTTTTATATTTTTAGTAGAGATGGAGTTTCACTGTGTTGGCCAGCTGGTCTGGAACTACTGACCTCAAGTGATCCGCCCCCCTCACCCTCCCAAAGTGCTGGGATTACAGGCGTGAGCCACTATGCCTGGCCCTAAATTTTTTTTTTTTAATTTCTAATGCTCATTTACTTTTGTTCCATAAATTGAGGTGATATAAGAAAGTCACAAAAAGGAAAGTATGAGCCATCCCCCCAAGCGCGTATCTGAGCATGTGTCTTCCCACTGAGAGCTCCCAGGGCCTGCTCCTGGTGTGTGCTAAGCATGCAGACAGAGGGAACAACTGAGGAGACTACTTGGATGGGGTGTTGAGTTACCAAATCAGCTTTCTCTCAGCATAGTTAAAAAATATATTCTCTCTTCTCTTTTCTTGAGGAATTCTCTAGCCTCTCATGTTGTTTCATGTGGTTTGTGAGGCTTCCTTGGCCAGTGTTTCTCAAGATCTGCTTTATTCTCCAGTGGTTTTGATGTAGGCCTCATACCAGATCCCTGTAGTTCTAAGTTTAGAACCCTTTGATGTTGAGTCTCAGAGGGCCTTGCAACCTTCGTGGAATCCAAGCACTGCCCTCTCACTGCAGCCCAGCTCCTGTCTCTGTTAGATACATCAGCAATGCTCAGCTTACTGCTGGGGGCATTGTACAGCAGCTACCTGGAAGACTGTTCATGCCAGCAAGAATGAGCTTTTTGTTTAGCTCCAGTTATTTTTAGGACCAGTGAGTTAGCTCTAAACAGCCCTTCCATCTGATTTGTGAAGAGGGTAGTAAAGAAAGGAAACATTTAGCTAAAGGAAATCAAGATTGAATTAGGGGAAATGCAATGTTCATTTTGAACTGTCAAATTATCAAAGCAGAATTTCCCCTGCCCTCTTATACAATGGTCATTCTTCTAATACGTTATTTTAAAGTCCTCATAAATTAGCCATTTTCAGTTTGTTCCAGAATAGGCCAACTCACATGGACCCACACTGCTTGGTATTCCACCTTTTTAATTCTGGATCCCCTGAGATTCTCAGTTCATAATTCAACAATAGAGGAACACCGTCAAGCCATTAGTATCTGAAACCTCATTTAGTGTTCAAATATAGTCACTTTCCAATTGGCAGCACATTTCACCATTCACCATATTCACTAGTTGTGTCTTTGTATACAAAAGTACTCCCTCTTCCCCACCCTCCTGCCTTTCCTTCAAGCATGTATATCTGACACCTCCTTTTCTTTTTCTTTCTTCTTACAAATCTGATGGAACAGTTGTCTGCCTTAGAGTTGCTCAATCTGATATATCTCTGTGTGTGTGTGTGTGTGTGTGCTTTTTTTTTTTTCCTGTGAACACCTATAAGAAAAGGAAGAAGCAGCAGCAGAAGTGATTAAACTTGCTCAGCGTAAGATGGGATTCCTGCAGCCTGGAGGTGGCGTTTCATTTACTGTGGCAGTTACATACCTTCAGTTGATCTGCTCTGATCAGTAGCCTGTTTATCCCCACCAGGTGCTTTTGGCCCTTTGGGCTTCCACATACTGACCTGGTTTTTGGCTCATGGTGTTATCTGTTGGGGTTTACTTCAGGGAACTTTTTTTTTTTTTTTGAGACGGAGTCTTACTCTTGTCACCCGGGCTGGAATGCAATGACGCAATCTCGGCTCGCTGCAACCTCTGCCTCCCAGGTTCAAGCGATTCTCCTGCCTCAGCCTCCCGAGTATCTGGGATCACAGGTGCCTGCCACCATGCCTGGCTAATTTTTGTACTTTTGGTAGAGATGGGGTTTCGCCATGTTGGCCAGGCTGGTCTCGAACTCCTGACCTCAGGTTATCCGCCCACCTCGGCCTCCCAAAGTGCCGGGATTACAGGCGTGAGCCACAGCGCCTGGCCTTTTTTTTTTTTTTTTTTTTTTTTTACCGTTTTTAACTCTAACCAATGGGAGTAGTAAAGTTTTATCTTTATAGTCCTCAACTAATAGCTAATCTGTTTTTTTGTTTTGGTTTGTTTTGGCTTTTTAATTTTTGAGACAGGGTCTCACTCTGTTGTCCAGGCTGGGAGTACAGTGGTACGATCTTGGCTCACTGCAACTTCTGGCTCAAGTGATTCTCCTGCCTCCTCCCAAGTAGCTGGGACTACAGGCGTGCGTCACCATGCCTGACTAATTTTTGTGTTTTTTATAGAGGCGGGGTTTCACCATGTTGACCAGGCTGGTCCCAAACACTTGAGCTCAAGCAATCTGCCTGCCTCGGCCTCCCAAAGTGCTGGGATTACAGGGATGAGCCACCACGCCTGGCCACTAATTGTTTTTGTTTGTTTGTTCGTCTGTTTTGCTAACCTGTTTTTAATAAACAGATATTGCTATTTTAAAATTTTCAGTAATTAATGCTTTTACAACTCATAAGCATTATAAAGGATCTTAAAATGACAAGTTTACATAAAATTTTAACCCCAAATTTACTAAACACTGTTTGTTGCTAGAAAACTGGCATCTCTCAATTCTTGTCTAGGTATTGGCATTTCAAGACCAGACTGGGCAACAAAGTGAGACCTCGTCTCTACAAAAAATTAGCCAGGTGTGGAGGTGTACACCTGTGGTCCAAGCTACATAGGAGGCAGAGGCAGGAGGATCACTTGAGCCCAGGAGGTCGAGGCTGCATTGCATCTTGGGTGACAGAGTGAGACCCTATCTCAAAAAAAACCACACCCCTGCCCCGCCACACACACACACACACACACACACACACACACACACACACAAACCCCAACATCTGTGGCTCACATCTGTGGTCCCAGCACTTTGGGAGGCTGAGGTGGGCTGATCGCCTGAGGTCAGAAGTTTGAGACCAGCCTGGCCAACATGGTAAAACCCTGTCACTATTAAAAATACAAAAATTAGCTGGGCATGGTGGCAGGCACCTGTAACCCCAGCTACTCAGGAGGCTGAGGCAGGAGAATCACTTGAACCAGGGAGGCAGAGGTTGCAGTGAGCCGAGATCATGCCACTGCACTCCAGCCTGGGCAACAAGAGTGAAACTCTGTCTCAAAAAAAACAAACCCAACATTTGTTATATATTACTTACCTTTAGTTAGATACCATATTGTCTCTTGAGTATATCTAGGTTAAAAGATAAAAGTTGATAGGTAAAAGGTAGGAAAGACTGCTGAGTGAGATCCTCAGGGCAAGAAGATACTGTTGGAGGAAGGAGTCTATGGAATTGGGCCAAAAAATGGTCAACTCCAAGGGAAAAGAAACAAGGATCATTTATATGTACAGGACAGAGAAACAAGAAATGATATTCTAGAGGTATAATTAAAATTTTAAAAACTCTTATTTTATGTGGCAAAAAAAGGAAACTGAAGTGATATATTTAAAAAGGATGTGGAAAGTTCAGGTAAATGCTAAATTATAAATTCTTCATGGCAGTAATCCTATTTTGTTTTTAATATCTCTCTCACCTTTACCCTAGCATGCACTAGCATACATAGTAAAATCTAACCATCCTGCATACATTGCTCTTTACCAAAAAACCTGGGAGTTCCTGTTATAGGCTAATATACCTATGAAGGATATGTGTGATTCAGAGGCAATAATTTTTTTTAATCCCTATGCTCACTATAGTAACCTTGATATCTCTTAAAAGAACAGCCTGGCTGGGCACAGTGGCTCACGCCTGTAATGCCAGCACTTTGGGAGGCCGAGGCAGGCAGAGCGCTTGAGTTCAGGAGTTTGAGACCAGCCTGGGCAACAAGGCAAAACCCTCTTTCTACAAAAAATACAAAAATTAGCTGGGTGTGGTAGCACATGCCTGTAGTCCCAGCTACTCAGGAGGCTGAGGCGGGAAGACCACTTGAGCCTGGGAAGTGGAGGTTGCGGTAAGCTGAGACCGCGCCATTGCATTCCAGCCTGGGTCTCTGTCTCAAAAAATAACTAAATAAATAAAAACATCCTGTGTGGCCATAAAAAAGAATGAGTTCATGTCCTTTGCAGGGACATGGATGAAGCTGGAAGCCATCATTCTTAGCAAACTAACACGGGAACAGAAAACCAAACACTGCATGTTCTCACTCATAAGTGGGAGTTGAACAATGAGAACACATGGACACAAGGCGGGGAGCATCACACACGGGGGCCTGTCGGGGGCTGGGGGGAAAGGGGAGGGAGAGTATTAGGACAAATACCTAATTCAGGTGGAGCTTGAAACCTAGATGACGGGTTGATAGGTGCAGCAAACCATACCTATGTAACAAACCTGCACGTTCCCCACATGTATCCCAGAACTTAAAGTAAAAACAAAACAAAACAAAATAACATCCTGAAGCTGAGGCTGTATTTTCTCAATTCACTGTCAGTGATTCATCTCTGGCCTTCCAGGGTTAGCTCTTGAGGCAAAAATCTGACAGCAGTCACAGTCTTAATCTTCTTCTTTTGTCTTCTGCCTTTGCTAGGATTCTACCTCTTTCCTGCACCAAATGGCTTCCTTTCTGTTTTTACTATCTCACATATTTGTTTGTTTCCTTCTGAGTAGAGGATGGATGGGGTAGGGAATCTTCCCTAATTCAGAGACTCAGAGATTGAAAAGTATTGTCAACGGGCAGAAACTGTTGTTAGGACTATTAACAATATTTTCTTTTTGACTGCTATTGTGATGTCTCAGCCAATCCATAGAGGATATTATCTTGTTTGATAACAAAGCCTTTACTTTGTAACCAGCATATACTTCTTAATACAGAACCCTAGCTAGAATTGTTAGGACCCCTGAAAGCATCTAGTCTATCTTTTTTTTTTTTTTTTTGAGACGGACTCTCACTCTGTTGCCCAGGCTGGAGTGCAGTGGCGCGATCTCGGCTCACTGCAAGCTCTGCCTCCCGGGTTCACACCATTCTCCTGCCTCAGCCTCCCAAATAGCTGGGACTACAGGTGCCCACCACCACGCCCGGCTAATTTTTTTATATTTTTAGTAGAGATGGGATTTAACCGCGTTAGCCAGGATGCTCGTGATCTCCTGACCTCAAGATCCACCCACATCGGCCTCCCAAAGTGCTGGGAGTACAGGCATGAGCCACCACGCCCGGCCGCATCTAGTCTATCTTTTATTCTACTTTCATAACTTCCCAAACACCAAATCAGACAGTGCTTGACACACAGTGGGCCTTCAATGACTGTTTAAACATTGTCTTTGTAGCTACATGGACCTGGATTTATATCCTGGTTTTGTCACTTAGCTGTGTCACTTTGTTCTCTCATTTGTAAGATGGGGCTATAATTCCTGTCTTTTTTTTTTTTTGAGACAGTATCTCACTTTGTCGCTCAGGCTGGAGTGCAGTAGCAAGATCTTGGCTCACTGCAGCCTCAACCTCCCAGGCTCAAGTGATCCTCTCACCTCAGCCCCTGAGTGCCTGGGACTACAGGTGCATGCTACTATGCCTGGCTAATATTTGTATTTTTTTGTAGAAATGGGGTTTTGCCATGTTGCCCAGGCTGGTCTTCTAGGCTGAAGCAGTCTGCCTGCATCAGCCTCCCAAAGTGCTGGGATTACAAACATGAGTCAGTGTGCCCGGCCTATAATTCCTATCTTTTAGAATTGGTATGAGGCTAAAGTGAGAGAATGTGTTGAAAGCACCTACCACAGTGTCTGGCACATAGTAAGCCCATTTCCACCTGCCTTTGAATAAATCAGTGTCCTTGAGAAGATTTCCTGCTCTCTCAGCCACCCATCCTTTCCCTGACGATCATCCACATTGGAACTCCTCCCAAAACTTAAGGCTTCTTGTTCCAACTTACTTATAGTTATTCTTCTACTCTTATTAGAGAGAACGTTCTTCATAATTCATTATGGCTTACTTTTGTAATAAAATGAAAGGAGAAAGCTGTTATAAAAGGTTAATAATACAGAAGTATATAAAAGTTGAAAGGTAAAGTTTTCCCTCCTTTCTATTTCCCTCTTCTCCATTCTAGAGAAAATATTTTGTCTCTCTCTCTCAATCTAGTAAGTGGCAAGAGAATAAAATTCAGATTTCTACTGTTATCTGCATCAGTAGATACCTGGGTGTTTGACTGTCCATTAGGTAGAATGCATAGAGACCATTCAATATATTCTTATCAACTTGTCGGTTACCTAATCCATTGTCATTCGAGATAGAGAGAAGAGAGTTGAGATCCTTAAAGTCTTCATGCTCATGAGTTGAGAATCAGAGCTAAAGCCTTTGCTTTGGGGTGTTTGGGATTATAAATATTCTTCTACTTTTAGCATGATTGTCTCATGCTTTCTATGGCTACTGAGGGCTATGACTGTGATTCTGTTTTTTCTAAGTCTTATATCTGGCCTGAGTTACACACTGATGCTTTTACTAGGTAGGGAGATGAGCTTGTATCCATTCAATGTTGACTACTGGGATAAAACTCTGGTTTGCCTTCACATTGATCCCAGTTTCTTTGAGGCATGTTATAACCTAGAAACATGTTATAGCCTGTTTGGTTGCAGCTCCCCCTTGGAAAGTATATGTACCAAAAAGAGTCAAGGTATTTTCTTTTTCTTTTTTTTTTTTTGAGATGAAGTCTCGCTCTGTCTCCCAGGCTGGAGCGCAGTGGCACGATCTTGGCTCACTGCAACCTCCGCCTCCTGGGTTCAAGCGATTCTCCTGCCTCAGCCTCCTGAGTAACTGGGATTACAGGTGCCTGCCACCATGCCTGGCTAATTTTTGTATTTTTAGTAGAGATAAGGTTTCAGTATGTTGGCCAGGCTGGTCTCAAACTCCTGACCTTAAGTGATTCACCCGCCTTGGCCTCCCAAAGTGCTGGGATTACAGGCATGAGCCACCACACCCAGCCAAGTCAAGGTATTTTCTATACAATAACAAAAATAGGGAGGTATTTTACTTAATATGTAATTAATATTTAAGAGTGATGGTTCAGGGAACTATTTAGAAATGAAAAAGAATCAGCCCTGTGTGAAAACAAACAGGAGAAACCTTTCAAATGCCCCATGAGAATGTCACGAGAGGAGAATTGGAAGTAAAGTAGCTAGAATATGGGGACAAGGATAGAGGTCAAGGCTGTCCAAGGGCAGGACAATTACTAATATATAGTTGTGTGTGAACCTGAGGCTTCAGAACTCTAGAGAAAGCAAAGACATCTGCTACCTACCAACTTTAGCCTGCGTACATAACTGTTTTCTGGCTTTTTGTTTGTATGTTTGTTTATATTTTAGAAATAGGGTCTCACTCTGTTGTTCAGGCTAGAGTGCAGTGACGTGATCACGGCTCACTGTAACCTCAACTTCCTAGGCTCAAGGGATCTTCCTGCCTCAGCCTCCTGAGTAGCTGGGACTATAGGTGGGTGTCACCATACCCGGCTAATTTGTTTTATTTTTTGTAGAGATGGAGTCTCGCCATATTGCCCAGGCTGGTCTCGAACTCCTGGGCTCAAGGGGATCTTCCAGCCTCAGCCTTCCAAAGTGCCAGGATTACAGGCGTGAGACACTGTGCCAGGCCACTGTTTTCTGTTTGAATTATCAGTTAGTATAATCATCCTTTGTTATAATAGAGTTTTAGTAATGTGCCATGAGCTACAGAGTAAGGATTCTTCACCTATAAGAGTCAGTATTCTTAGGAAGGGGTCAGCCTTCGTCAGTGATTGAGTGATTACTTCTTGGCATTTAAAATAGCGTCACTGGCTGGGCACAGTGGCACATGCCTATAATCCTAGCACTTTGGGAGGCTGAGGCAGGAGGATCGCTTGAGCTCAGGAGTTTTAAGACCAGCCTGGGCAACTTAGTGAGATTTTGTCTCTACAAAAAATTTAAAAATAAATAAAATAGTGTCATTTTACACTTTATACCCAAAACAAAACCAAAGAAGTATATTCTGGTGTTTGTAGAGTAGCAAGCTCCTTTCTATTGCATTTCTTTTTTTTTTTTTTTTTTTTTTTTTTTTTTTTTAAGAGGGAGTTTCACTCTTGTTGCCCAGGCTGGAGTGCTATGGCATGATCTCGGCTCACCGCAACCTCCGCCTCCTGGGCTCAAGCAATTCTCCTGCCTCAGCCTCCCGAGTAGCTGGAATTACAGGCATACGCCACCACCCCGGCTAATTTTGTGTTTTCAGCAGAGATGGGGTTTCTCCATGTTGATCAGGCTGGTCTTGAACTCCCAACCTCAGGTGATCTGCCTGTCTCGGCCTCCCTAAATGCTGGGATTACAGGCGTGAATCACTGCACCCAGCCTCTATTGCATTTCTTAATCATGCCGAGAAAATGGGTGGTAACAGATCAACTTCTGTAAACTCCACAGATTTATGCAGAATGCGTTCTACAAGAGAAATCTCTTTAGGAATTCACTATGACTCAATATAGGAATTATGGGTTATTGTCATGATTCCTTGAGATTCTTTTTACTTGATTGAGTTAGGAGCAAAATGCTTACTCATTGCTTTATTCTTGGAGTAGAGGCAAATGCAATTTCAGATAAATGTGTGGGATAAAATGTGTGGGATGGGAGTTGAAAGATAGAAGATTTTACATATGCCGATTGAAAGTGGCTTTGAGCATCATTTCTTCATTAATTCATTCCATGTTTATTTATTGGATGCTTACTAAGTGCCAGGCACTGTTCTAGGTGCTAAGAAGGTATATAGCCATCCATGAAACAGTCTGAGGTCAGACTTCCCTCTCAGGTGGCCATACTAAGGCCCATAACAGCTCTGGCTCATCCTCTTTATATTAATTTTTATTTTTTCACTCCCTGTCTCCAGGAAACAGTGTTGGCGTCCTTTTTTGTTTATAACCGTCAAGCATGAGTCATCCCTTCACTGAGTATTGCAGAATCGCATATCACATTCCAGCCTAATTCGTACTGCTGCCAGGGTCTCTGCCAGCAGCTCTTTGCCTATCTTCTGACAATCATGATACTCAGAGCAGTGAGACCAACTGCACATGTTGGTCAACTGGGGAAGGGAGAAGACAGAGCATGATACCTGTTTTCTATCCATTTTTGTTTAGTACAAGGTATATTTAGGAATAGGCAGCTTCTGGCGGGCACGGTGGCTCACGCCTGTAATCCCAGCACTTTGGGAGGCTGAGGCAGGCGGATCACGAGGTCAGGAGATCGAGACCATCCTGGATAACATGGTGAAACCCTGACTCCACTAAAAATACAAAAAAATTGCCGGGCGTGCGCCTGTAGTCCCAGCAACATGGGAGGCTGAGGCAGGAGAATGGCGTGAACCTGGGAGGCGGAGCTTGCATGAGCCAAGATTGCGCCACTGCACTCCAGCCTGGGCAACAGAGCGAGACTCTGTCTCAGAAAAAAAAAAAAAAAGGGCAGCTTCTTTGTGGGTGCCAATATATCAGGCCATACTCTACCATTAGAAAGCCCGAAATCCATGGCAGGGCACGGTGGCTGGTGCCTGTAATCCCCGCACTTTGGGAGACCAAGGTGAGTGGATCACCTGAGGTTGGGAGTTTGAGACCAGCCTGACCAACATGGAGAAACCCCATCTCTACTAAAAAAACAAAATTAGCCCGGCGTGGTGGCGCATGCCTGTAATCCCAGCTACTCGAGACGCTGAGGCAGGAGAATCGCTTGAACCTGGGAGGCGGAGGTTGCAGTGAGCCAAGATGTGCCATTGCACTCCAGCCTGGGCAACAAGAGTGAAACTCCGTCTCAAAAAAAAAAAAAAAATTAAAAATAAAGCCTGAAATCCCTTTTTTTAATTAATTAATTAAGTAATTTTTTTTTTGGACAGTATCTCACTCTGTTGCCCAGGCTAGAGTGCAGTGGTGTGATCTCAGCTCACTGCAACCTCCACCTCCCAGGTTCAAGTGATTCTCATTCCTCAGCCTCCCAAGTAGCTGAGACTACAGGCATATGCCACCATGCCCAGCTAATTTTTTTTTTTTTTTTTTTTGGAGACGGAGTCTCACTCTGTCACCCATTCTGGAGTACAATGGCATGATCTCAGCTCACTGCAACCTCCTCCTTCTGGGTTCAAGTGATTCTTCTGCCTCAGCCTCCTGAGTAGCTGGGACTACAGGCTTGTGCCACCACACTCAGCTAATTTTTGTATTTTTAGTAGAGACAGGGTTTCACCATATTGGCCAAGCTGATCTTGAACTCCTGACTTCGTGATCCACCTGCCTCGGCCTCCCAAAGTGCTGGGATTACAGGTGTGAGCCACCTTGCCCAGCCTAATTTTTGTATTTTTAATAGAGACTGGTTTTGGCCATGTTGGCCAGGCTGGTCCCGAACTCCTGGCCTCAAGCAATCTGCCCACCTCAACCTCCCAGAGTGCTGGGATTACAGGCATGAGCCACTGTGCCTGACTTCCAAAATTCATTTCTTTAATAATGAATTTACACCTATGAGCAAATAAAGTCAGCTGGTCTCTTAAAAACAGTATTGGGCCAGGCATGGTGGCTCACGCCTATAATCCCAGCACTTTGGGAGGCTGGGGCAGGCAGATCACCTGAGGTTAGGAGTTCAAGACCAGCCTTGCTAACATGGCAAAACCCATCTCTACCAAAAAATACAAAAATTAGCTGGGCATGGTGGCACATGCCTTGTAATCCCAGCTACTCAGGAAGCTGAGGCAGGAGAATCACTTGAACCCAGGAGGCAGAGGTTGCAGTGAGCCAAGATCGTGCCACTGCGCTCCAGCCTGGGCGACAGAGCGAGACTTCATCTCAAAAAAAAAAAAACAACCGTATTGGTCTTACAAATGGACTTGGCAGCTTTGGCTGATGTTTCTGTTGTGCACACAAAATGGTCCTTTAAGGAAAACCTGAAAATTTATTCTAGAATTTTAAGATAATCCATCAGAAAAAACAAACAAAATTCTTCCTGAAATTTCTAAACAATACTTTGGTTTTGAATATTTAGGCTTTCCTTTCATAAATTTGATTGGTTGATTTATATCTTTTAAAAAATATGTCTTTAGGGCAGCTTTGTAATATAAAAAATATTTCCACCTATAATTCTTTACTTTAATGTAACTGTTTTCTTTTCTTTTCTTTTTTTTTTTTTTTTTTTTTGAGACAGTCTCATTCTGTCACCCAGGTTGGAGTGCATGGTGTGATCTCAGTTCACTGCAGCCTCCGTCTCCTCGGTTCAAGCAATTCTCCTGCCTCAGCTTCCTGAGTAGCTGGAATTATAGGTGTGCACCAGCATGTCTGGCTAATTTTTGTATTTTCAGTAGAGACGGGGTCTCCCCATATTGGCCAGGCTGGTCTTGAACTCCTGACCTCAAACGATCTGCCCACCCCAGCCTCCCAAAGTGCTGGGATTACAAGTGTGAGCCACCACACCCAGCCTAATGTAACTGTTTTCCTTTCCTTTTAGTCTTTATCTCATTGTTATATGTGATTATAATGTTGTCATTTATGCAGTTGTATGTTCTATTTTAAACCTTAAAATTTGTTACTTACCAACTTTTTGAATATGCCTGACTGAAATGATTCATACTGTAGCATGTGTGACTCAGGGTAGTGAAAGGGGGTTTGTTTTGAATAGCAAGATGAGCATCAGACTAGTCTTCCAACCAGAAAACATTCCATGCAACTTGAGACACAGATGAAACAGCAAATTTCTTCTTGGCTTGGGGTTGGATAAAGGGTGGATTGACTTATGTAGTGTTTGCTAAAATGACAAATGGTGAGATGCTAAAAGCACTTTGAGCTTTAGGGAGTTCAAAGTGGCCAGGCAAATTAAAGTTATGTGACCTATCTGAGAATATAGCATAGTTCTTTGTGAGAAAAGAAAGTGAGATATTTGTGCTTTGTTGGAAATAAAAAAGATTTTAAAAACTCAAGGCTGGGCACAGTGGTTCACACCTGTAATCTCAGCACTTTGGGAGGCTGAGGCGCAGATCGCTTGAGCTCAGGAGTTCAAGACCAACCTGGGCAACATGGCAAAACCCCATCTCTACCAAAAAAAAAAAACCCAAAAAAGAATGAAAATTAGCTGGGCGTAGTGGCTCACACCTGTAGTATCAGCTACTTGGGTGGCTGAGGTGGGAGGACCACTTGAGCCTGGGAGGTTGAGACTACAGTGAACCTTAATTGCACCACTGCACTCCAGGCTGGGCAACAGCACAAGACCTTGTCTCAGAAAAAAAAAAAAAACCACAAACAAACAGAAAAACTTTTATCAAAAATACCTACTGCTCATGCTGGGTGTGGTGGCTCACACCTGTAATCCCAGCACTTTGGGAGTCTGAGGCAGGTGGATCACTTGAGGTCAGCAGTTCAAGACCAGCCCGGCCAACATGGTGAAACCCCATCTCTACTAAAAATACAAAAATTAGCCGGGCGTGGTGGTGCGTGCCTGTAATCCCAGCTACTCGGGAGGCTGAGGCAGGAGAATTCACTTGAACCCAGGAGGCAGAGGTTGCAGTGAGCCGAGCTCGTGCCATTGCACTCCAGCATGGGTGACAGAGTGAGACTGCATCTCAATCAATCAATCAATAAACCTGCTGCTCAGATAGGGTAAGAAATAAAAACAGCATAATCATCTGAAAGAAACGAAATTGTGTATCTTTTAGACTTCAGACAAAGTAAATATTCAACATCTGATAACTGTTAAGGACACAAACTTGAGCATATTTGTGTTGAGTTCTTTTATAACTCTAAAATATGCTAGAATTCTATGGAGGATTGATTCTGAGTTTACAGACCCTTGAAGACATCAGGAGTCTGTGTACCTACAGTGGTAATATATTAATATGTGTGAGTCCCTAGTTAACCGTTTACACCTGGAATGCCAGGCAAAGTAGACAATGTCAGAGACACAGAGGAACAACCTGTGCAATGGATGGAAATGCAGTAGATGGACATATGCTCTTGTGTGTTTGGAACCTTCACAGGAAAGAAGCAGAACACAAAGTGGAAAGTGCAGACGAGGCAAAGGACCTGTGGAAGGTTTGTTTCTAAACCTCAAACCTCAAAGATCTTTTTTTTTTTTTTTTTTTTTAATTGAGACAGAGTCTTGCTTTGTCGCCCAAGCTGGAGTGCAGTGGGGCGATCTCAGCTCACTGCAACCTCCGCCTCCTGGGTTCAAGCCGTTCTCCTGCCTCAGTCTCTGGAGTAGCTGGGGCTACAGGCGCCCACCACCACACCCGGATAATTTTTGTATTTTTAGTACAGATGGGGTTTTGCCATCTTGGCCAGGCTGATCTCAAACTCCTGACCTCAAGCGATCCTCCTGCCTTGGACTCCCAAGGGCTGGGATTACAGGTGTGAGCCACTGCGCCGAGCTTAAAGATCATTCTCGAAACTCACTTTAGCAAACTTGGGTATTTCAGTTAGGATTAGGTTCAATTGTAACAGATCATCAAACAAACAAACACAAAAAAACCAGGAACTTAAAGATAGAGTTTTTGGGTTTTTTTTTTTTTCCTTACATGAAAGAAGTCTGAAGCTAGGTAACTGAGAGCTGGCATGGCAGTTCTGTGATCACCAGAGACCTAAGCTCCCTCTTTCTTTTGGTGTCATCATCTTTAGTGCTGGCTTCCACCATCAGGTTTGCCTTAGGGCTGCTGAGTGATCGCTGCTGTTCTAGCTGTCACATCTGTGCTCCAAGCAGGAAGAAGGACAAGGCCAAAGGACATATTTCCTGGTAGAATCCACCCCCTGTACCCTAAAGGGCTTTCCTGGAAACCCCACCCACTTATCGGATACCCCTATCTGTAAAGGACATTGCCTTCACTTATAACATGGAGACTAGATATTGGATAGGCAAACCTTGGTCTTTGCCATACCAAGTGATCGATCATATTCCTAAAGGTATTTCTTAGACTTAGGTTGCTAAGACTTCGGGATATCTACAGACTCAGAACAGGACAGTAATAATGTTTGGTGAACCTGGCTTTTCGTTTCCTGCTTAATTGATTAATTCAACAGTATTTAGGACTTACCACATGCTAGGCACTGGAGCTACGATAGTAAGCAAAATAGACCCAGTCCCTGCCCTCAAAGAGTTTACAGACCCATGGGGGAAAGAAAGGTTTTAAAGAAGTGGATTATAAATATGTTGAACCTTAAGAAGAGGGAAGTAAAGTGTGCTTGGTTGGGGCTGTGTGATAGGAAAGGCTCTATAAGGATATGTCATAACATATACATTGAAACTTAAAGGATGCTTAGGAGTTAGCCAGGTCAGAATGGCAGGGATGGAGGTGTCAGAGGAGAGCAAGAGGGGGAGGAGTGCCCCAGGTCGACTCACTCCCAGTCTGATAATTTCCATTACAATTCCTTTTTCTTCCATTATTTGTCTTAATTCTTCATCAGAGGGAATCAGTGGGAATGTCTAAGCAATAAAGGAAGGCAGAGACCAAAATTTTTTTTTAATCTGATGGCTAAAGGGGTTGCCATCCTTTCTACTTCTTTGTTTTTTCACTCTCTCTAGATGAGTGCCTGCCTTCATAGGCTGCACCAGGGAGTGTTGGTAACCGAGGAAGGAGGTGGATCAATGGCTGGGGTACCGAAGTCCAATTGTTCCATTGTAGATCAGGATTTTGGTCTCAGTGTGGGACTTTGGGGAGACAGGGATTGGTTCTGACCCTGAGGCGCTGATATATGACCCCCTTCCCCTTCCAGGAAGTGGACGTTGTGGTAGCACCATGCCAAGGCCTCCGGCCCACAGTGGATGTTCTGGGTGACTTGGTGAATGATTTCTTGCCTGTGATAACCTATGCACTCCACAAAGATGAACTCTCTGAGAGGGATGAGCAAGAGCTTCAGGAAATCCGAAAGTATTTCTCCTTTCCTGTATTCTTTTTCAAAGTGCCGAAACTGGGCTCGGAGATAATAGACTCCTCAACCAGGAGAATGGAGAGCGAAAGATCACCGCTTTATCGCCAGCTAATTGACCTGGGCTATCTGAGCAGCAGTCACTGGAACTGTGGGGCTCCTGGCCAGGATACTAAAGCTCAGAGCATGTTGGTGGAACAGAGTGAAAAGCTGAGACACTTGAGCACATTTTCTCACCAGGTGTTACAGACTCGCCTGGTGGATGCAGCCAAGGCCCTGAACCTGGTGCACTGCCACTGCCTTGACATCTTTATTAACCAGGCATTTGACATGCAGCGGGACCTGCAGATCACTCCCAAACGTCTGGAATATACTCGAAAAAAGGAGAATGAGTTGTATGAATCATTGATGAATATTGCCAACCGAAAGCAGGAGGAAATGAAGGATATGATTGTTGAGACACTTAATACCATGAAGGAGGAACTTCTGGATGATGCTACTAACATGGAGTTTAAAGGTAGGTCCCAGAGAGCTTGTTGGGGTGCTGGCACGGGAGGAGTCTCTAACCATTTTCTAGCCGGAAATTAAGAACGTTAATTCCTAAGGTTAAAGGAATCTCAGGGTAACTTCATCCACCCCACTGTTACCAGCAGGAGCCCACTATTTAGCCAAGGTGGCCTCTCTTGCTCTCAAAGATCATTGTGGAAGATTCCACCCTCATTCCTTCCCAAGAACATTAGCTCAACTTTTGGTAAATTCATCCTAATAGCTCTGTAATCTCCACTTTCTGCCTGTACCCCCTCAACCCCTAATGGAGCTGGAGAAGAGCTGCTTGGAGAATGTTAGTAAATTGTGCTTTAACCTTTGCTCCTGCAGTATGGCTCATGCCTCTTTATTGGTTCTTTTTGTCTCATGGTCTAATTTCCTTTCAGGCTGCTTCTGAAGCCCACATCAGGAGGATTTCCCAAAGTTGTGTTTTTAGCCTTTTGACAGTCCTATTCTTCACAAATGGCTACTAACAAAATTGGGTGAAAGTGATTGGTCAGGTCTTTGGGTGTCTGAGATGCTGCTGATTTTGTATACTGACTTCTGTATAAACCTCCATGCAAGATTAAAATGACATGGTTTGCAAGTTACCCTTTAGAGTCTCAGTTGTGAGTATCCTAATCCCTTGGGAGGCTTTCTGAAAATACACATGCTCAAGACCACTAAAGATGACTGCAGACTTACTCACGATTTCTGACATGGGACCCAGCATCAGTATTTTTAAAAAATAACCTCCCTAGGTAGATTCTGCTTATTTCCTTTTTCTAGATGAGGGACTAAGGCTTAGAAAGAGTAAGTAATTTGCCCAGGGTCACACAGCTAGTAAATATTAGAGGCAGGATTTGAATCCAGACAGTCTGATTCCTGAGCCCATATTCTTAATTTCCATCCTTTACTGCTTCTTAATCTGTTTCCAGTTACTGATGCCACCTTCTTCCTGGTACCCACCTTCAAAACCTCAGCATGGTCTTGAATTGTCTTCCCTTGGCTAATCAGTTGCCAAGTACTGATTAATCTTTCTTTTTTTTGAGATTAAGTCTCGCTCTGTCGCCCAGGCTGGAGTGCAGTGGCGTGATCTTGACTCACTGCAACCTCCGCCTCCTGGGTTCAAGCAATTCCCCTGCCTCAGCCTCCCGAGTAACTGGGATTACAGGCGTGTGCCACCGTTCCCGGCTAAATTTTTTTTTGTATTTTAGTAGAGACGGGGTTTCATCATGTTGGCCAGGATGTTCTTGACCTCGTAATCTACCCGCCTCGGCCTCCCGAAGTGCTGGGTGGCGTGAGCCACCACACCTGGCCTCGATTAATCTTCTTACGTATTCGATACCTATCTATGCTTTTCTATTCTGTCTTAAGTCTAACTGAACTATTGTTATCTAACTGATCTCCCTGACTTCTTTCTTCAGTTCACCTTTACTGGCTCCCTACTTCTACAGACTAAGTTTAACTCCTACACCTAGTATTAAAGACCTCCCAAAGCCTAGCCCTTACCAACTTTTCCAGTCTTATTTCCCCACTATGCACTTTCCTGTATTTTCTATGTCAGTTGGTCTTAACTTCTTTCTGTCCTCCATACGCTCCCTTTACTTTTTCTTTGCTAACACCCTGCCTTAAACCTGGAATGTCTTTGATTTGTCTGTGAACTTCCAAATCCTACCTACCCATCAGGGCCTGTCTCCCAAATGCCATTTTTCATGAAGTCTTCTTTAATTTTCTCCTTCTTTTTTTATTTTTGGGACAGGTTCTTGCTCTGCCATCCAGACTGGAGTGCAGTAGTGCAGTCATGGCTCACTGCAGCCCCAATCTCCTGGGCTCAAGCAATCCTCCTGCCTCAGCCCCCTGCACACCTGGGACTACAGGCACATGCCACCACACCAGCTAACTTTTTGTATTTTTTTTTAGAGACAGGGGTTTCACCATGTTGGCCAAGCTGGTCTTGAACTCCTGGTCTCAAGCAATCCTCCCACCTCGGCCTCCTAAAAAGTGCTGGGATTATAGGCATGAGCCATCACACCTAGCCCTGCTTTAATTTTCTTAGCTAATAACAATTGCAGTCATTTGAAATCCCATAGCATTCCATCTGTAACTTATTTCTGGCATATTTCACTTTCTATCTTTTATTATAGTTATTTATGTACTGCGGACTACTTCCTAAAATCCTAGAGTTGAAAGAGGGTAGGATCTGGGTCTTATTCATCATCATATTCCTTGCAGCAAATAACACAGACTCTTGTATACAGTACGTCTTTGGAGAATCAATGAGTGTGTGAATGATGGTATCTAGTTTAAGTTACACTTATAAATACAAAGGAAGTATGGTTGACTTTAGCAAACATAGGTTGCCTGATTTCTTATAGTCATTCTAAAGATGAACAGAGATACCTCTTTGGTTAATTCCCCACTGCGAGAGGAGTTGTTGAGAAGTGTTACTTGCAGTGGAAATCTTAGGAAGTCTTCTCAATATTTGATTAAAGACACCAGAGCATCACTGCCGGCATCATATTACACAGAATGGAGGTCAGGACAGCTAGGTTGGGCAGACAGTAAAGTATCCGATTGTTCTTACCTTGTTCTAAGTGCTTTCTGAGTATCCTTGAAACAATAAGAAGATTTAGAAGCAAGCTAGCACATATTCTATGGAGCCAGATTTTTTTTTTTTTTTGTAAAGACGAGGTCTTGCTGTGTTGCCCAGGCTTGTAGCGATCCTCCTGCTTCAGCCCCCACAAAGTGCTAGGATTACAGGTATGAGCCATCGTGCCCAGCGTTGAGCCAGATTACTATTACTGTCTGTTTTTAAATAAAGACAATGCATATGTGCTAGGTATCATGATATTCACACTTTATAAAATTTATTTTTAAGATAAAACCTATATGTATAGTACTTAACTCAGAGTTATAAAGACACCATCCCCCAGCCACCCAGTTCTTCTCCATATGTTCTTCTGCACTTGTCTTTTTCATTTAATATGTATCTTAGAGGGCATTCCATAAATATTCATACAAATTTGTCTTCTTCTAATGGATATGCCTGAATTTATTGAACTATTCTCTCATTGGTGGACATTTAAGCTGTTTGTTTTTGTTTTTTATTTTTATTTATTTATTTTTTTTTGAGACAGGATCTTGTTCTGTCGCCCAGGCTGGAGTGCAGAGGCCTGGTCTAGTCTCACTACAACCTCCGCCTCCTGGGTTCAAGGAATCCTCCCACCTCAGCCTCCCTAGTAGCTGGGTCTAAAGGTGTGCACCATCACACCTGGGTCTAAAGGTGTGCACCATCACACCATCATACCTGTATTTAGTAGAGACAGGGTTTCACCATGTTGGCCAGGCTTATTTGTTTATTTTTTATTTTCTCTTTCGCTAATACAAAATGTACTGCATTAATCATCATTGTACATATACACCTTGGGACTTGTAAGGGTATATCTCAAGAAAAAGAATTCCTAGAAGCAAAATAGTTAGATCAAAGGGTATGTAGATTTTTCTTGGTTGGTTGAACATTTTAATAGATATTGCCAAATTTCCTCTGAAGAAGTGGCACCCATTTAAGTTTCCACCAGTAGACATGAGAGTGCCTTTTCAGGAGCACATCTTTTTGCAAGTAGTTTGACTTCTCTCAAGTTCTTCTGTCCTCTGATTTACAACATTAATAGATGTTCTAATCCTAAGAGATAGTGTGGCATGGTGGGGACAATTGAGTTTTACTTTTTATTTATCTAGTAATTGATTAGAATAAAATTCCTGGCCGGCGGCAATGGCTCATGCCTGTAATCTCAGCACTTTGGGAGGCCAAGGTGAGCGGATCACCTGAGGTCAGGAGTTCAAGACCAGCCTGGCCAACATGGTGAAACCCCATCTCTACTAAATACAAAAATTAGTCTGGCGTGGTGGTGGGTGCCTGTAATCCTAGGTACTTGGGAGGCTGAGGCACAAGATCACTTGAACCCAGAAGGCGGAGGTTGCAGTGAGCCGAGATCGTGCCACTGCACTCCAGCCTAGGCGATAGAGCTAAACTCAGTCTCAAAAAAAGCAAAACAAAACAAAACATAGAATACAATTCCTGACTCTTGGGTTTTTCTCATTAATATGCTAGGGAGTGTGAAATTTTGCAAAGATCATAGGATTTGGAATAATGAGCACTGGGTTCAAAAGCTGGCTGTATTACTTCCTAACTGTACTATTCCCTTCCCATGTCTACTTTGTTCTCTCTTTGAGGCTGTTTCCTGATCTATAATACCCATGTAACAAAGTTATTGTGAAGATGAAATTAGATTACATGTGTAAAATCCTTATTTTAGTGCCTTTCAAATAGTTTGCACTTCATAAATGTTGTTCCTCCCCTCCTATAAATGTGACATAAAAGCTAACAAAATTGCCGGGCACGGTGGCTCACACCTGTAATCCCAGCACTTTGGGAGGCCGAGGTGGGCAGATCACGAGGTCAGGAGATCGAGACCATCCTGGCCAACATGGGGAAACCCCGTCTCTACTAAAAATACAAAAAATCAGCCAGGCGTGGTGGCGGGTGCCTGTAGTCGCAGCTACTCGGGAGGCTGAGGCAGGAGAATGGCTTGAACTCGGGAGGCGGAGCTTGCAGTGAGCCGAGATTGCATCACTCCACTCCAGCCTGGGCGACACAGCGAGACTCCGTCTCAAAAAAAAAAAAAAGCTAACAAAATCAACAGTCTCATTCTAGACTTATTGCTTCTTATTTATTTTTTTTTTTTGAGACGGGGTCTCACTCCCATCACCCAGGCAGGAGTGCAGTGGCACAATCACAGCTCATTGTAGCCTCTACTTCCTAGGTTCAAGCCATCCTCCCGCCTGCCTCATCTTTTTACTTTTTGTAGAGATGAGGTCTCACTGTTACCCAAGCTCATCTTGAACTCCTGGGCTCAAGCAATCCTCCTGCCTCAGCCTCCCAAAGTTTTGGAATTACAGGCGTGAATCACTGCACCTGGACTTAATTGCTTCTTCTCAGGATCTTAGCTGCCTTTAGTAGTTGAGGGTTACGTGACCCCTGATCATTGTGAGAGTTAGACATCATCAACGAATCATGTCTTTTTGCAGCCATCATCATCACGGTAGTTCCATGGTTCTGATTTGGGAGATGACTTTATTTAGTGTGTCTGCCCCTTCTTCCTCACAACTATTCAGCTTATTTCTCTGCCTCCATAGACGTCATTGTCCCTGAGAATGGAGAACCAGTAGGCACCAGAGAGATCAAATGCTGCATCCGACAGATCCAGGAACTCATCATCTCCCGACTTAATCAGGCAGTGGCTAATAAGCTGATCAGCTCAGTGGATTACCTGAGGGAAAGCTTCGTCGGAACCCTGGAACGATGTCTGCAGAGCCTGGAGAAGTCTCAGGATGTCTCAGTTCACATCACCAGTAATTATCTCAAACAGGTAGACAAAGAATGATTTTTAAGACATCGTGTCATAGATAGCACATGAAAAATCTGCACAAGTCCACACTTCAAATTAGGCAAGAATTTCCCTTTCAGCTTCTTGCGAATCTTGTTTGAATTTTATTTTGTTTTCCTGTCACATGACCACTGCCTGTGGGAGATGTTGGTGAGCTGTAAAACTGCAGTTAAGTTGATGAATATAGGCCAGGCACAGTGGCTCACGCCTGTAATCCCAGCACTTTGGGAGGCTGAGGTGGGCGGATAACCTGAGGTTGGGAGTTGGAGACCAGCCTGACCAACATGGAGAAATCCCATCTCTACTAAAAATACAAAATTAGCTGGGCGTGGTGGTGCATGCCTGTAATCCCAGCTACTTGGGAGGCTGAGGCAGGAGAATCGCTTGAACCTGGGAGGCAGAGGTTTCGGTGAGCCAAGATCACGCCATTGCACTTCAGCCTGGGGGACAAGAGTGAAACTCTGTCTAAAAAATAAAAAAAAAAATAAAAAAATAAGTTGATGAATATAAAGATGAGGTAGAAGGGGCTAGATAGTCACAAAATAAATAATCAGCTTAAGTTGACTCTGCATATATATTGAGGGGTAAGTTTGGAAACCCTGAGTCTGGACTGTGTTCTTGAAATAAGTATCATTTATTGCATTTTTAAAATAGCCACACTACTGAGGACATGTTTTCTTTGGCGTTGTCTCTTTCAGATCTTAAATGCTGCCTATCATGTTGAAGTCACGTTTCACTCAGGGTCGTCAGTTACAAGGATGCTATGGGAGCAAATCAAACAGGTAGGGATTATTACTTAGAGAAAGATTTCAAAGCCCCTAGTTGGCTCAAATGAATCATAGTGACCCCAGTAGGAAACAGATATCTAGGATCTTCTGTTAAGGCAGGGTGACCATTTGTTCTGGTTTGCCTGCCTGGGAGAATTCTGGTTTATGCCTATTCTTAAATAATTATTAACATTGTTCCCTTGAACTCTCAGAAGTTTTGGGTTTAAATGATTTTTATGTTGGGTGCTCTTTGTGGACAATGGAAAAATAGAAAAAAAAGATAAATGATATTTCATGGAGCCATAAGACTCTACCACACTAGCTTCTTCATATTTCTTTTTCCCAGCCTAAATCTTTTCTCAGAACTAGGCTTTGTTGTTGCCAGAGGCTGTGAATGTGGTTTCTGTTCTGGAATTTGATCTGGCTCTTATGTAGAGTTATTTACTGACTTCAGAAAGATTATCAGGCACTCCCTGGCACTGAATGTAATATATTGAGGGTTTGTGAGCATGTAGACTAGGCCTGGTGTTCTTTGATGCTTTTCTCTGGGCTAGGACCTGATTTTGTGGTAGATGGAATTGGAAAGGAACTTTGGACTTCGTATGGCTCCCATCTTATGAGCCTGCTCTTAATGAATGGGTAACCCAGAAAAGGAAGGACACTGGATCTTTGTAGTGGTTCTTGTCTCTCATTCCTTGGTGATCTCGCTGTCTTCATCCTGGTAGATCATCCAGCGCATCACATGGGTGAGCCCACCTGCCATCACTCTGGAATGGAAGAGGAAGGTGGCCCAGGAAGCCATTGAGAGCCTCAGCGCCTCCAAATTGGCTAAGAGCATTTGCAGCCAATTCCGGACTCGGCTCAATAGTTCCCACGAGGCTTTTGCAGCCTCCTTGCGGCAGGTTGGTATGTAGGAAAGGAGATACAGCTGGATCAAGCAGAGAAGAGCCTCATCCAGATGGGAATATTTCGCTCTCCGCTCTTCATATATAATATGTGTGTGTGTCTGTGTGTGTATACATATATATACACATATATATACACACACACACATATGTATATTAAAATCATCAGTATATTTTCTTTCTAGATTGTTATAGGAAGTTTTTTCAATAAATTTTTCATGTGGATATTTTCCTAACTCTCGGGAGAATGGAGTGAGCTCAGTTAATTCCTGCCCATTTCAGAGTGAGGAAAGATAATAGGAGTAGGAATTTTGTATGTTTATATAGTATTTTAGGAACAAATGACAGAAGGACATGACTTTCCAACTTCTATATTTCATAATTGTTTGACATCTGATTGTCCACTGGCGGGGAGTGGGTGTGTCCAGGCAGAGAGTGGATAGATGTGAGTATGCATCCAGGAGGAAAAGTTATTATTTATTGAGAGTCTACTCTGTGCCAGTCTCTGTGCTAAACATGTTACATGTATCTTGTTTAATTCTCACAATTATCTATATGAAGTAGATATTATTATCCCTGTATAACAGGTGAGGAAGCTGAAGCTAGGGACTTAAGTCATATGTACTTTTTCTGTTTCTCTCCCAGCTGGAAGCTGGCCACTCAGGCCGGTTAGAGAAAACGGAAGATCTATGGCTGAGGGTTCGGAAAGATCATGCTCCCCGCCTGGCCCGCCTTTCTCTGGAAAGCTGTTCTTTACAGGATGTCTTGCTTCATCGTGAGTCTGGTTTTCTTCTAGATAAACTGGAGGATGGTTCAGGATACCTGACATTCTTATGTCCAGCCTCAGAGAATCCTAGTGTCTAAAGCTGCTTCTTTGCAAAGCTGCCTAAACCCTTACTGATGTTTTTGAATTCCTAAAGTCTCTTCCTGCTATTTATATAGTTCAAATAACATGACCAGGCCAGGTGTGGTGGCTCACACCTGTAATCTTAGTACTTTGGGAGGCTGAGGTGGGTGGACTGCCTGAGCTCAGAAGTTCAAGACCAGCCTAGGCGATATGGCAAGACCCCATCTCTACTAAAAAAATTAGCTGGGCGTGGTGGCACTTTGCAACCCCAGCTCCTCAGGAGGCTCAGGCAGAAGATTCACTTGAACCCAGGAAGTAGAGGTTGCAGTGAGCCAAGATCATACCACTGCACTGCAGCCTGGGTGACAGAGCAAGACTCTGTCTCCAAAAAAAAAAACAACAAAAAACAAAAAACCACATAACCACAGTTTATTTGAATTAAACCAGTTAGATTATTTTCTATTGGGTTAGAATGACACTAGAATTTTATCCCTGGGCTTGATTACAGCTTCCTGACCCTAAAGGCAGGTTCACAATGAAGAATGTTACAGGGCCAGCATGGTGGCTTATGCCTGTAATCCCAGTACTTTGGGAGGCCACGGTGGGTGGATCACTTGAGCCCAGGAGTTCGGGACCACCCTGGGCAATGTGGCAAAACCCCGTCTCTAATAAAACTGTAAAAATTAGCTGTGCGTGGTGGCGTATGCCTGTAATCCCAACTACTTGGGAGCCTGAGGCAGAATAATCGCTTGAACCCAGGAGGCAGAGGTTGCAGTGAGCAGAGATCATGCCACTGCACTCCTGCTTGGGTGACAGAACAAGACTCTGTCTCAAAAAAAAAAAAAAAGAATCTTACAGAGGTTGCCCACGAAGTTCCCATTCCTCCTGCCTTATCTCTGTCTCTGTACCTTATAGGTAAACCTAAACTGGGACAGGAACTGGGCCGGGGCCAGTATGGTGTGGTATACCTGTGTGACAACTGGGGAGGACACTTCCCTTGTGCCCTCAAATCAGTTGTCCCTCCAGATGAGAAGCACTGGAATGATCTGGCTTTGGAATTTCACTATATGAGGTGGGTCCTGGCCTCATTCATCTCTATGAGAAAGATCCAGAGAAGAATCTAGAACCCTGGTTTAGATTTTGTACCAAGAGCTACAGCATGGCCTCTCTATATTTAGTTTTCTGTGTCTAACAGACATGTGCTCCCTTTCAGGCCTTTACTGTCTTTGCTTGCTCTTTCCCCACCATCCTAATTTCTCAGACTCATCATTCCATTTAACTTTCTTCTTTAGTCCTTAAGCCTTATCAGTTTTTAGAATCCAGGATTCTTCATCCTTGTTGAAGAGGCCATGCTCTGTCTGTACTGAGGGCTCTGTCTGCACTGAGGGCCATTACCTCTGGACCTGTCCTAAGCATGGTCTGGAAATTATTGTCTCATACATTGTGGCATGGCATGCAGGATTAGAGCCCAAGCCTTGTAGCCCAGATCTCTCTCCTTCCCTCCAGGTCTCTGCCGAAGCATGAGCGATTGGTGGATCTCCATGGTTCAGTCATTGACTACAACTATGGTGGTGGCTCCAGCATTGCTGTGCTCCTCATTATGGAGCGGCTACACCGGGATCTCTACACAGGGCTGAAGGTAAGGAGAGAGCAAGATCCAGCTGGCAGCCAAATCCACGGGTTCCTTTCTGGCCACTCATCCTCTCCTGTTTATTAAGAGCTTTTAGCTTTCATCAGAGATTGTTGGAGTAATTAGGGTTTATTTCACTTATTTCCAAAAACCCTTAAAGATTTCTCAGCTGGGCATGGTGGCTCACCCCTGTAATCCCAGCACGTGGGGAGGCCAAGGTGGGAGGATCACTTGAGTCCAGGAGTTTGAGACGAGTCTGGGCAATAGAGGGAGACTTCGTCTCTATAAAAAATTAAAAGTTAGCTGAGTATGGTGGCTCATACCTGTAGTCCCAGCTACTTGAGGGTGCTGAGCTGGGAGGATCTCTTGCGCTTAGGAGGTTGAGACTGCAATGAGCTATGATCATGCCACTGCACCCTAGCCTGGGTGACAGAGCAAGACCCTATCTCTAAAAATAAAAAAAAAAAATTTTTAAAGATTTATCAGAACCTATTTTCACCCCATTATATGCCCAGAATACTGTCATCACCACTCAGACCCCTGTGGTGGTAGTAAAAATCTAAACTCCTTAGAAGAGCAGTATAGCTTCCTGTAACTCTGCTCTTCTTTCTCATTTTTGCTGTAGGAGGATAAAGCTAGTTTTTGTTGTTTAGTCAACAGATATTTATTAGTGACTGCTTTGTACAAGGTCCAGCATTAAGCACCATTAGAGGATATCAGAAGGTATAATTGACAGGCACTATTAAGAGAATTGTAGTCAGCAACCATTTCAGGAAGATGTGGCGTTTGAGTTTGACAAATATACCATGATGGGTAGAATTTGGGCAGTGGAAGGAAGAGGCCATAGCAAGGGGAAGGAACAGCTTAATGCCTAGAGCATTCGAAGGCCGGTAAGGACACTGGGCACATTGGAGCAGCTGGTTCATTTTGGGAATCAGGAGACATAATGTGCAAAGAGATGTTGGGAACAAATTATATAAGACCCAAAATGTTAAGAATTTCCATAGAATTCGAATTCTGTTATAGACTGTGAGAAGCTACTAAAGGATTTTATTTGAGTGAAGGTGAAACCCTCAGTTGGATGTTGAGTTTCCCTTATCTAAACCACCAAGAGGGAATTAGAGAGGTTTCTTTTGTCTGTTCCCTATGTAGGAGCTGAGTAGAAGGAGAGAAAAGCTGACCTCAGAGTCTCCGAGTAGATCCCTTCTCACAGATTCCTCTTGGACCAGTTTATATGGAGGCTTCCAGAAGTAGGGCAGAGGAAACCTTAGAAATGCTTCCCAGAGTCATGAGGAATCAATATGATGAAGAAAATGACTCTCCAAGCAGCTTTCCCTCTTCATTTCAGAGGAGTTAAGCATTGTCTGATGCATTTCCACAAGTGAGCTAGAGAATGTCCTTTGAGCTTTTGAATGAGTGATGTGACATTTTCCAGTATTCAGGAGACCCTGAATTGAAGTAATATGAGTGACTTTGGTATTTGAATCCATAAAACCAAACCTGGGCTAACCAGGCCTGTAAAGCAATGGAAATAAATCTTCCTGAGGGACCTAGAAATAGTCACTTTGAGCCTCAAGGGCAGTTCCAGAATTTTTTCAAGTGTTAGAAATGAGCTCATGCCTTAGTTGTTTGGTTCTATCTGCTAGTCACATTTGAAGTTATCTGTTCGGCTTAACTGCAGCCTGCAAGGGATTTTATCTGGCTTTGTCTCCTTTACAACTTGCTCTTCCTTGCTTTTCCTCTACTTCCCTCTCCTAACTGCTTTTTCTCCCCCAACCTTTTTTTTTTTTTTTTGAGACAGAGTCTTGCTCTGTCACCCAGGCTGAAGTGCAGTGGCACCATCTCAACTCACTGCAAGCTCTGCCTCCTGGGTTCAAGTGATTCTCCTGCCTCAGCCTCCCAGGTAGCTGGGATTACAGGCACCTGCCACCACATCCAGCTAATTCTTTTTTGCATTTTTAGTAGAGACAGGATTTCACCATGTTTGCCAGGCTGGTCTTGAAATTCTTGACCTTGGCCTCCCTAAGTGCTGGGGTTACAGGCATGAGCCACTGTGCCCGGCTCTTCCCCTTTTTAAAAATCACTTTTCTGTCCTCATGTGCCCTAGTATAGTCAGTTGAATTGAGGAGTTGCCTTATCATGACAAGTAAGCTCTTTTGTCTCCCCAAGGCTGGGCTGACCCTGGAGACACGTTTGCAGATAGCACTAGATGTGGTGGAGGGAATCCGCTTCCTGCACAGCCAGGGACTTGTCCATCGTGATATCAAACTGAAAAATGTGCTGGTAAGTAAAAGCTGTTTCCCCAAGATTATACCCTACCTCTGTGGCTGAGTGATTTTGGAGGGTACATGTAAATGTAAGTTAGATCCTAAGAAAAGTCCTCACAGAAAGTGTATTAGTCCATTCTCACGCTGCTAGTAAAGACATACCTAAGACTGGGTAATTTATAAAGAAAGAGGTTTAATTGACTCACAGTTCCACAGGGTTGGAGAGGCCTCAGGAAACTTTTAGTTATGGTGGAAGGGGAAATAAACACATTCTTCTTCACATGGCAGCAGCAAGGAGAAGTACTGAACAAAAGGGGGTAAAGCCCCTTACAAAACCATCAGATCTCATTAGAACTCACTGTCATGAGAAAAGCATGAGGGTGACTGTCCCCATGATTAAATTACCTCTCACTGGGTCCCTCCCACAACACATGCAGATTATGGGAACTACAATTCAAGATGAGATTTGGGTGGGGACACAGCCAAACCATATCATTCTGCCCCTGGCCCCTCCCAGATCTCATGTCCTCACATTTCAAAACACAATCATGCCTTCCCAACAGTTCCCCAAAGTCTTAACTCATTCTAGCATTAATCCAAAAGTCCAAGTCCAAAGTTTTATCTGAGACAACGCAAGTCCCTTCTGCCTGTGAGCCTGTAAAATCAAAAGCAAGTTAGTTACTTTCTACATACTATGAGGGTACAGGCATTGGGTAAATACACCCATTCCAAATGAGAGAAATTGGCCAAAACAAAGGTGCTACAGGGCCCATGCAAGTCTGAAATCCAATAGGGCAGTCATTAAACCCTGCAGTTCCAAAATCATCTTCTTTGACTCCATGTCTTACATCCAGGGCACACTCATGCAAGAGGTGGTCTCCCATGGCATTGGGCATCTTCACACCTGTGGCTTTGCAGGATACAGCCTACCTCCTGGCTGCTTTCATGGGCTGGTGTTGAGTGTCTGTGGCTTTTCTAGGCACACGGTGCAAGTTGTGTGTGGATCTACCCTTCTGGGTTCTAGAAGACAGTGGCCTTCTTCTCACAGCTCCACTAGGCAGTGTCCCAGTGGGGACTTTCTGTGGGGGCTCCAACCCCACATATCCCTTCTGCATTGCCCTAGCAAAGGTTCTCCATGGGGGCTCCACCCCTGCAGCAAACTTCTGCCTGGATATCCAGGCATTTCCATACATCCTCTGAAATCTAGGTGGAGGTTCCCAAACCACAATTCTTGATTTCTATGCACCTGCAGGCCCAACACCACATGTAAGCTGCCAAGATTTGGGGCTTGCACCCTCTGAAGCAATGGCCTGAGCTATGTGGTGGCCCCTTTTAGCCACAGCTGGAACTGAAGCAGCTGGGATGCAGGGCACCATGTTCGAAGGCTGCATACAGCAGGGGGGCCCTGGGCCCAGCCCACAGAACCATTTTTCCCTCCTAGACCTCCAGGCCTGTCATAGGAGGGGCTGCTGTTAAGGTCTCTGACATGCCCTGGAGAAATTTTACCATTGTCTTGCTGGTTAATATTCAGCTCCTCATTACTTACGAAAATTTCTGCAGCAGGCTTGAATTTCTCCCCCAGAAAATAGGTTTTCTTTTTTTTTTCCTTTCTTTTTTTTAAAAATTTTTTTGAGATGGAGTCTCGCTCTGTTGCCCAGGCTGGAGTGCAGTGGCGCAATCTCAACTCACTGTAACCTCCACCTCCCAGGTTCAAGCGATTCTCCTGCCTCAGCCTCCCAAGTAGCTGGGATTACAGGCAGCCAGGCTAATTTTTGTATTTTTAGTAGAGACAGGGTTTTGCCATGTTGGCCAGGCTGGTCTCCAACTCCAGACCTCAAGTGATCCGCCCACCTCGGCCTCCCAAAGTGCTGGAATTTTAGGCGTGAGGCACTGCACCCAGCGAGAAAATAGGTTTTCTTTTCTATCACATTGTCAGGCTGCAAATTTTTCAAACTATTATGCTCTGCCTCCTCTTCAACACTTTGCTGCTTAGAAATTTCTTCCGGGGTGGGTATGGTGGCTCACACCTGTAATCCCAGCACTTTGGGAGGCCAAGGTGGGTGGATCACCTAAAGTCAGGAGTTCGAGGCCAGCCTGGCCAACATGGTGAAACCCTGTCTCTACTAAAAATAAAAAATTAGCTGGGTGTGGTGGCACACACCTGTAGTCCCAGCTACTTGGGAGGCTGAGGCAGGAGAATTGCTTGAACCTGGGAGGCAGAGGTTGCAGTGAGCTGAGATTGCGCCACTGCACTCCAGCCTGGGTGACAGAGTGAGGCTCTGTCTCTAAATAAATAAATAAATAAATAAATAAATAAATTTCTTCCACCAGATACCCTGAGTCATCTCTCTCAAGTTCAAGTTCCACGGATCTCTAGGGCAGGGGCAAAATGCCTCCAGTCTCCTTGCACAGCAATAGTGACCTTTATTCCAGTTCCCAACAAGTTCCTCATTTCCATCTGAGACCACCTTAGCCTGGACATCATTGTCCATATCACTATCAGCATTTTGGTCAAAGCCATTCAACAAGTCTCTAGGAAGTTCCAAACTTTCCCACATTTTCCTGTCTTCTTCTGAGCCCTCCAAACTGTTCCAGCCTCTGTCTGTTACTCAGTTCCAAAGTCGCTTCCACAATTTCATGTATCCTTACAGCAGCAGCCTACTCTTGGTACAATTTACTGTGTTAGTCCATTCTCACACTGCTAATAAAGACATACCTGAGACTGGGTACCTTTTACAGGAAAAATGGTTAATTGACTCACAGTTCCGCAAGGCTGGAGAGGCCTCAGGAAGCTTACCATCATAGTGGAAGGGGAAGAAGCAAACATGTCCTTCTTCACATGGTGGCAGCAAGGAGAAGTGCCGATCAAAAGGGGGGGAAAAACCCCTTACCTCCCATCAGGTCCCTCCCACGACATGTGGGGATTATGGGAGTTACAATTCAAGATGAAATTTGGATGGGGACAAATCATATCAGAAAGTAGTAGAGTTGACAGCATGGTGAAA